>NC_000006.12:159161699-159313214 GCF_000001405.40 Homo sapiens | reverse complement strand
ACTTCTCTGGCAGCTGGCCGAGGTGCAACCTCCTGTATCTGGACATGAGCGGGCTTTGTCCTCGCCCCTATCACAGCCAGCCAACAGCTAGCCAGACAGCCTGGTAAATAGGGCAGTGGAAATTCAGCTGATGAGTGGAGGGTTTCCAATATAAATTTCCCTTTTCCCACCACAATTTTATAGAACTTTGCAAAGATGCACATCAGCACTTTTGCAAGTTGGCTGTCTTCTGAAAAGCATCAAGCTTGTCAAAGCTTTAACTTTTTATGTTGTTATTTCAAATGGTTTGATCAATTATCAAGCACATGATGTCCCTGTAACCCTATCCTAGGCCATAAGAAGAGGGTTTGAATACCAGGGTTTTAGAAAAGTCTGTTTGCCACATCAAGGAGAGTTTTATGTAACCCTTAGTACATTTTCTCTTTATCCTGACATCTCATTGCTATTTTTTTTTTTTTTTTTTTTTAGTATATTGGAGTACATTTAAATTCTGGCTATACAAGCCAACATTTCTGTAAATCATCTTTCTGCCCTCTGTTAATAAGTGAATCTACAGCAGAGAGGACTGGCTTGGTTAGCTGACAACTCCTATGTAATGGGACTGAAGTAAGAAAATGTTATTAACAAAGTGACAGCCCTAGGTGAAAGTGCAAGAAGTTCTAGCAAATTCCAAAAATATTTTATAGGCTCTTGATCTCATTAGGCCCTCTTTTGCAAAGGAAACTTACTGGGCAGTTTCTTAACTTCCTGTACTTCTCAGACTAAACTCAGAGCATTCACAAAGGAAAATTGGTTTCACTGGCTTGATCTTAAACCCTTTCCAGTGAATCAAACAGTAGTGAATGTCTAGAATACACGTCAGAATCAACACTGGGAACTTTTCTAACTTACAATGTTTTCTTAGTTATGTGCCAAAACAAAACCTTGCCAAGAGGAATTATTTTGATTTAGAGATATGGCTGGTCTTATACAATTTGAGCTCTTTGAGGGCAAAACTGATATGTGATTATCTTTGTATTTAAACATCTCAAAAAGTAGTTTTTGTAACTGAATGGAACCTAATACCAAGGACTTGACAGCTTCTCCAGGCATTAAGAGGCCACAGCATGCCCCTGGTCTTGGCTCATACATCTGCCCCTGCTAAGAGGATGCTGCCTGACCCACACCCCGGCTGCTGGGGTAGCGCCTCCTCATCTCTCAAGACCCATCTTTCCAAACTCTTTCTTGAGCGTTTTCCATTCATTGCACCCCCTGGCTCCCTGCACACACTCCAGTACAATTGATCATCCTTTCTATCCAACTCCCACTGCATCTTATACATCCTCATCTCCTCACAAGGGACACCCCATTGCACTTACAGGTGTACGTGTAGATTCCACTTTGTCCACCAGGGTTTCTCAAGCTCTGCACTGTTGACATTTGGGGCCGGATGACTCTTTGCTGCAGCATCCTGTGCATTGTGAGGTATTTAACAGCATCCTGGCACCCAGCCTGCTGGGTGCCACTAGGAACCCTCCCCCAGCCGTGACAGCCAAGGCTGTTAGGCATTGCTACATGTTCTCTGGGAGGCAGAATTGTCCTTATTGGAAACCACTGTGCTAGACTCAAAGCTCATGAGGGTGATGGCAATGTTTTATTTCTCTTTAAATTCTTAGCACTTTGCTCAATTCCCTGTCTACATTGGACATTCAGTATTTTTTGGATTTTGAGAATCAAGTGAATTAATGCATGCTAATACAGTATGAATACTCAACAAACCTTAACTGTGTTACTGCTATTATCTGAAACTATTGCCCATCTCAGCAATAGGCAGTGATTATAATACTGACTTTATAACTTTCTGGTGAAATTAAATGTGTAGGGTAGGTGTCCAGCTGCTCTGGTGTGTGGTTGTGTCCACTTTGAACCTGGGCTGTCCTCTGAGATGGGTCAAGATCTTCGAAACCCCAACTAAAGCTCTGGACCCCTGTCCACAGGTTTATGCTAGACCTGGTAATTCTGGCTTCCAGACCCTTCTTAGGTGCTAACTTTAGTCCCTAGAGCTTGCTTCAGCTTCTGCCAGCAGGCCTGGCCTAGGTCGTCTCAGCCACTCCACTTCTTGCCTATCTTGACTTCTAGAAAGGTTATAAACCTCCACCACCATCTGTCCCTTCTTGTCTCAATTGTGCCTGTTAAGTTAGCCCATGACCCAGGGTGACTTGTTTCGCCATTCTTTGGGCCCTGTAATTAGGTTATCTTCGAACTACCCAAAAACCAGCAAGATCTCACACATTCGCCCTGGCCTGGTGTATATCACGCTAAAGACAGCCTGCCGAGAGGAAACTGTTCCTTGGAACAGTTGAATTTGTGACTCTATGCATATAAAGTTCAGCCTGACCGACACTTTGACCCTCCCACTGCTTTGGTGTTGGGAGAACATCACTCATGACAGAATTCAGTGAGTTGTAAATTATCAACAGTGGTGACTTAATTGACAATTGCTGTGTTATAACATTGTTATCACTTATATTAGGGTTCTCTGGAGGGACAGAACTAATAAAACAGAACTAATAAAAGGGAGTATATTAAGGAGTATTAACTCACACAATCACAAGGTGGGGTGCCACAGTAGGCCATCTGCAAGCTGAGGAGCAAGGAAGCCAGTCCATGTTCCAAAGCTGAAGAACTTGGAGTCCAATTTTCAAGGGCAGGTAGCATCCAGCATAGGAGAAAGATGTAGGCTTGGAGGCTAAGTCAATCTAGTCTTTTCACGTTCTTCTGCCTGCTTTATTCTGGCTACACTGGCACCTGATTAGATTATGCCCACCCAGATTGAGGGTGGGTCTGCCTCTCCCAGTCCACTGACTCGAATGTTAATCTCCTTTGCCAACACCCTCACAGATACACCAGGAACAATACTTTGCATCCTTCAATTCAATCAAGTTGATACTCAATATTAACCATCACATCAATATAGGAGCTCCCCCAGTAACTATGGTCCTTTTTGAGACCCAGGATAATGTAAGACAGACAAGACTCTGACTTGTCACTTGGGTAATATCAGCCTCCTGGTAACATAGGTTGCCCCTGTTAGGCTGGCAATGTGGCCCCTATTCAGAGCAAGTTTAACATACATATATCCTATTATAAGGAGTATGCTGCTAGCAGAGATCAGAAAAGCTAATCTGTAGATGGGACTTTTACCCCCAGTAGTATTTCCCAAACTTGGCTTCTTATTTATTTGTTTCCTTGACCTTCACTCAGTCACTTACCGATCCATTCATTTATTTGTTCACTCAACAGACATTTATTCAATACTGGGATGTGCCAGGCACCCCATGCTACAGAGTCAGGGAAGCAGTGCTTAAGCCAAACTCTGGTAGACAAGTAGGATTCCACTAGGCAAGATGTCAAAATAGCACAGGCAGCTTAAAAACTGACTTTTCTCTAGGACCTACCCTCCAGTATTCCAATTCAAAAGGTCTAAGGTGGGCCCAAGGTTGGATTTCCTAAAAGCACACTTGAGAGCTGCTTTCAGCTGTATGTACCTTAAAGGAGGGAAGGCACCATGACCCTGGAATGGCCCAGTGCCCTAAGAAGTTCAAGCAGGGTGCTGGAGAGCTGTCAACATGTCACTCTGAGGCCAGGCGAAGGGAATGCAAGTTCTAATAAGTCTGGTACATTCATCAGCTTCAAAACTCCTCTTCCTAAGCTGGAAGGCCAATGTATGCCAATTATCTTTTACTTTGCCCCTTTTAAAGATAATTATCATTCAAAAAATAAATATAAAAAGATTTAAATGTTAATCTCCTCCAGCACAGGTTAAAGATGGTGATGCAGGCTTCTAGTCCTGTTGGATTTTGGCCAAACTCAGTTATCTGGATGGACTTTTTGCTACTTACATGCCCAGCTGAGGCCCTAGATTCCCTATAGCTGATCCCATTTCTTCAGAATCCTTGAGCTTGGAAAATTCATTGTGAATGTTTGTCCCAGGAGGGATATCCCAGATTGCCTTTAGCTATTTAGGAACAAGCAATTAAAAAGCAGGATGGTGTTCGATGATTTAATCTGCATTTTTTTCTTGTATGACTCCAACTTCAAATCCAGCAGGACTGAATCCATAAACAGTTGAAGTTAGTAACCTATAAACACCTGCAGCTCTCCCCAGTTAAGTCAAGGCCCATGCAACTCTAGACCCTGGGATGCAAGAACCACATCAACAGATACTTGTTCTTCTATCATTTGAACATAAAGATTCTGCTTCTTATTTCTAAAAATTGTTTCACATTTACATATACCAGCTTTAAATAAGTGTTAGCCAAACAGTGAGTTTCAGAGGCCCAAACTCAGAACTCGATGGCCCAAGGAGGTGCAGGAGCCAATTAACCAATTTCATGGCATTATAATAAACTCAGACCTTGGGAAGGCTTTTAATGTGTTACTCAACTGACGTCAAGAAGAAAATGTCTTTGTATCCTCTTTTATTTATGTAGATGAGGAAACAACCAAGTCCACCCAGGTCCTTTGTGGGTATCTGGCATGAGAAGGCCAGTGGTCCACACAAGCGAGAAAGGGCATTTTAATCAAGGAGGGCTGGAAATGAACTGGAAAGCTCATTTTTATTTTTGGAGTGCTTCTATTCTTAAAAGGATGTACAATTCTGAAGTTTGTTCAAAACTATTTAAGGAAATAAAAGATTAATGTGTCAGTAAAAAAAAAAAAAAGAAGAAAATGTCAAAATACTAAAAACAGACTGGAGTTAAAAATCTGGCCTCCAATTCCATGAGAAGTTTATTCATCCCTCTCCTTTTATATACACAGAGGTGATCTCACAGCATCACATTGCAGTGAGAGCAAAATGACATAAAATCAACCAGGCAGGCTGCACAGAAGTTCCAAAAACAGGACTCCACGAATGAGTGGGGAAGTAAGCCACTCTAAATGGAGCAAAGCACATTCTGCTTCCACTGTTCAACTTTCCCCCAACATAACTGATTTCCAGAGGTTGTTATTTTAAATCAATGCCCAGCACAACCATATTGAATTAGACCTAGCTGATTTACAATCATAAATGTGTTGAACTGGAAGAGTATGCAAAGAATCTCTTGTCTAGCAGTTTTCCAAAATAGTTCCTCAAATTGCAGATATTCCAAAGACTTCCATAAAACTGAGGTAGAGGCTAAGGGGAAGGATATCGCGGTCAGGACCCAGGCTCCAAATGTCAGCTTCGAGCAGAACTGCTACATTTTTACCTATCATTTATATTAGTATGCTGAATCTAGATCATTTTGGGGGGAAAAAAACAAGCTTTTAAAAGGTTACTCACACTCCCCACCCCTACCATGAAGCTGAAATGTACGGAAGGGTGGAGAATTGCCCCAGACAGCATAATTAGTGAGTGGCAAAGTACAATGGAATCTTGTTATTCTGGGTCTCAATACAGTTTGCAGATTTATCTAAATTTCAGATTTCAAAACTCTGATTAATTTCTCAAATGCTTCTTTGCAATACTGTATAAATTCATGTTGTGACTCAACTGGAAAAAAATTCAGTAAAGATTCATGCTGTTTTAATCCATTCTTGACCAAAAAATCCTTGTAATTACCAAGCTACTTTATTTTCTTAAGTACAAAACCTACAGGCACAGTCCCAGAGGAAATTCTCCAATTTGGAAACCCTCTGAGCATTTATGTAATTTATTCCAGGAATGAATAAGAGGCTTAGCTAGCATGCCAGTACTGATTGATTGGTAGTGACTGACTGAGAAAGATCCTGAAGCCACCACTGGCCACAGAGATTATGCAGCAATGATTAGCAATGTCTGCCATGGATGTGGGAGGGGGAAATATGGTATGGTTGCCCCATGTTTGTCATCCCTGGCCTCTCCTGTAATCCCAGCACTTTGGGAGGCCAAGGCAGGCCGATCATGAGGTCAGAAGATCGAAACCATCCTGGCCAACATGGTGAAACCCTGTCTCTACTGAAAATACAAACATTAGCTGGGCATGGTAGCGCATGCCTGTAATCCCAGCTACTCAGGAAGCTGAGGCAGGAGAATCGCTTGAACCCGGGAGGAGCCATTGCACTCCAGCCTGGGCAACAAGAGTGAAACTCTGTCTCAAAAAAAGCAAAAAAAGAACCAACATTTTGTGGATGTTTGCACCCTCTCTTTCCCTCCACTGGAGACTCTGGAAACACAAAGCCAGAAGAGTGTAATGGGTTCCGTTGTTCACAGCCTGGTCATTGTGGTTGAGATCTGTGTCCAGCATGAGGCACAGTAAGTATTTGTGAAATGAATTGATAGCTGCATAAATGAATGGACATCTGCATTTCACACCACTATATCCCCATCCTGAGACAATGAGCACAGCAACACTAGCTGCTACAATGGAGAAGAAAGAGGGAGAAAGAAATCCTGGGGTGGAGGGTGTAATTAATATAGTATTTCCAGAGTAGTATCCCGATACGTGTTTTTGACCTGAATTTATAAGGAACTCAAAGACAAGTCTCTGCAATTTAAGATCTATACTTTGAAAATACATTAGGCCCTATCTAGAAAATGGTTCCCTTTTTGGCTGGGATTTACAGTTAGCTGAATTGGGTGCTAATCCTCCATGTATGAAATATGGGAGATGTGAGTGAAATGCTTTTGCCCCTAACCAACTGTGTGAGCCCCTTGGGTCTGAGATTCCTCGTTTGTAAATAACAGAGTTGCACTCTTCCACTTGTTCTTTCAGTAAATATTGGTTGACTGCTGAGAGCTCCAGGCACTGGGTTGGAGTTTCATAATCTAGGGAGGACATCAGACATTAAACAACATCTCATTGCAAAGCCTGCTGAGTGCCAGGAAGGTCAGAGGACTCTGAAGGAACCAAGGTCCCTTCCTGCGCCAGTAACCTGTGGTTTTATAGTGGTTTCTATTGTTTCCCATCCCTGGGTGTCCACATTCCAACAGCGACCCTTTCTGGAGAGTTGTGGGTGGGCACAATTAAAGGCATGAAGAGATACTGGGCCTGGAGTCCTGCCTCAATTTTGCAACAGGCAGGTCTCAGGAGCCCTCTTGCTCCTCCTTTTCCTCAGAGCCTTACAAAGAAGAAGAAAGTCCCTTGTACTTAAAATATTTTCTTGGATGAGAATGCAATTTTCTTAGACGTTCTGTATGCCATTAAATTCTTCCTTGGCTTGAATCTTTCTTGTTCTTCCTGAGATGGAGAACCCCTGGCTAGCAGCCTGTCACCACCAGCCCCCTGTGAGATACTTAAAGCCAGTCTCTGTCACAGCTTTGCCTCCTCTTCTGCAGAGAGATGCTCTCATTTCCATGAAACTAACTTCCTCAGAGAGATGCTCTCATTTCCATGAAACTAACTTCACAGGTTTCTTACCTCTTCCTTTTAGACACTTTTTCTCCTGAATTCTTCCCCTGAATTCTTTCCAAGTCTCTTCCAATGGGAAAAAACTAGACAAATCCTTTGGAAAGGGTCTCACCAAGAATAAAAAGAGTATTAATTTATTAACCGTCAACTGTCTTTTCTGTCCTTTTCTTTTTTCAGCTTGGGGGCAACCAGTATTTATTGATCTTATTAGATCTCAAATAACATTTATGCTGGTTGGATTATTATTCATTTACTCATATATAGCCTCCTAAACATTAGCATTGTATGTTTAAGACTTCAAAATAACATTAAAAAGCATAATAACCAAAATGCCAACCATAATGGTATTGACTTGGTGAGCAGAAGGCTCTCTGGTCAGGTCTATGTTAAATTTCTCAGGTATTTCATGCATGCGGAAATCATCAACTGTCTGTAAAACTAACCCAAATTCGCCCTCCAGAAACTTTCTAAGTCAGTTAAGACAACAAACACAAGGGACCTTTGTTCAGCACAAATTTCATTATGAAACGCAACACTCGTGCTTTCTAACAACAGTTTCCTGATAAAACAGAATCTTTTTCTTAGCCTGTTATTTTTATAAAATCATACTCAAAACTTGGACATTTCTACGATCTCATATTAGTCCTTTTCTAATACTTCTTTATCATTTTTCTGAGAATGTTAATACTGGATAAAAGTAAAGTCTGTAGAGATTTTTGAAGTTTTTTAAGTCAAAACAAAAGTTATAAACAGAGGAATTGGAACTGAGGAGAAAGAAAGTGTTCCACCAAAGCAGTCCTACAAACTGCACTCTACAAATAGACACCAAATTTATAAACCCAGAGACCCATATGGCTCAGAAACAGAGCACTAGCAGGTTCAAGAAGCTCAGTTTAAGAGCCAAATGGGATTGAAAAGGACTTCTATCATTGTCTGATATCTCTTGAAGGACATTCAAGAAGCTGTAAATATGTTGTTTCAGACTCTAGGATCATTGACTAAAACCCTGTGCCTACCCTGGCTCTCCTCCCTCCTCCCTCACCCCTCCTCAGCCAGACACCTCTTCCTTACCTCACTGAACAAGAGCTCCTAACTTTTGATCCACCCCCTTCCCCTCTCACTTAGCACTTATGGTGCAAAAGTATGGTCTTAGGGGAAGTCTAAGAGCTGGGTATGTCTATGAATTCCCCGTCATTCATTTTTTTCCTAAATGTATTAGTCAGGATTCTTTCAGGTCCAAGTTTCAGAAACCCACTCAGACTGACTTCTCCGTAAAAGCAACATTACTGACTTAGGTAACTGTAATGTTACCGAGGGCATTATTTCAGGCATAGCTGGACCCAAGGACTCAAATTATGTCTCCGGGAACTCATTTCTCTCATATATTGGGTCTGTTTTCTTTTGTATTTGCTTTAATATCTTCCAGTTGGTGGGGAGGTGACCACTAGGAGCATCAGCCTACCAACCCAGAGGCACAGGGAGCACCTCTTTACAAAATGTTGCAGAAAGAGTCCTGGGGGGATGCTCATTAACTGACCTTGAATCATGGACATCCTGAATTTTAAAAGGATGGGGTACTCTCAGGTGCCTGACCCTTTTTATGGATCTATTCCTGGGGCTGAAGGAACCAAATCAGAGCAGCTCCACCCAAATCAGACTGGAATGGGTGGGTCCTCTGGTTACTTTTCAGGGAAGATGGAGGAGCATTTATCTGAGTGGGGGAAACAGGCTGGGCAAACCAAAACAGCAGACGGCAGTCAGGACAGGCTGGGGAATCACAGGAGCAACACAACAGGGCTGGACTGTGCTCGTGTGCATGGGCACACTAAGCCGGCTGGCAGCTCTGCTCCTGGTGCTCACCCAGGGCCCAGATGGTCAGGGGTCCACACCACACTCACCTCACAACCTCCAAAGCAGGAAAAGGGGGCGCTGGAGTGCCTCCCACCGGCAGTGAGGCGGTCCTTCCAGGAGCTGGTGCACATCACTTCCACTGGAAGAACAGGAATTTCAGCCACAGAGTGTGCTTGGAAAGAAGAAAACCACTGGGAGGACCAGGTGGGCAGATCACTAGAGGTCAGGAGTTCAAGACCAGCCTGGCCAACATTGTGAAACCATGTCAGGCGTGGTGGGTCACTCCTGTAGTCCCAGCTACTTGGGAGGCTGAGATAGGAGAATCGCTTGAATCCGGGAGACTGAGTTTGCAGTAAACTGAGATCACGCCACTGCACTCCAGCCTGGACAACAAAGCGACACTCTGCCTCAAAAAAAAAAAAAAAAAAGAGAGAGAGAGAGAACCAGAATATTTGATGACAGTCCCAGTGACGTCCTGTACCCATTCATTAATAAGACAGCAATGTCTCCCACAGGGAAGAGCTCTGCACACCATGGACATCTTTCTGCAAAGGGCACACAGGCCATTCACATCCTACTGACAGATCCAGGTCAACCTTCACAGCTGCAGACCCAACTCAGAGGGCATGACAACTCTCAGCGGCCAAAGCCCTCCAGCCCTCCCTCTTTCCTTGCCTTTATTTCCACCTGCAGCCTCCCTCCCATGTTCCTAACAAGATTCTCAATGCTTTATTATATCTAATTTTCCTCCTAACTCCAAAAGAGAAAAGAAACTTTGGAGTGGATGCAGTTTAAGATGCTCTTTGCAATGCCTATGTGTGGAAGGGCCTGTGTGCCCCTTATAGCTACTGCTGACAGGGCCCCGGGTCTGCTCAGCAGGGAAGGCAAACACAACCACTTTTCCTGGGATCTTTGAGTTACTTCATATGTTTAATAAGCAAAATACTCTGTATCTTCTCATACATGTGAAAATCAACAGTCTAATTTTATCTCAAATTTGGTAACAGGTTTTGGTTGTTTCAAATTGAAGAAAATTAATATAAAGCAGAGACTGAGATCTTAAAAATCCTTTTTAAAAATCCTTTTTTAAAATAGGTTTTTCCACCTTCTGTGCGGCCTATACAATACGACATGCATAATTACAGCAGCTCAGTTCTCATGTTCTTCGACAGTGTTTACAAACACCCTGAGGCAGGCATCATTAAATAGAGGCAAGGAAAAGTTACCCAAGGGGGGAGCAGGCTCTCTGCATGTGTGTTTACAATGCCGAATAAAGCTCTAGAGCCATATGCACTGAGAAAGTGTTTCCCCTAAAATACACCGTACAACTAACTTGATTTTGCCATAGAAACAGACATATATAGCTCTTCATAATTTCTATCTTGTATACATATAATTTATTTCTATAAATAGGTAAGACATTTAGGAAATGATTTGATGACAGTCAAAAATTCCGGTGGTTTTCTTTAAGGAGATTTGTATCAGGAATATTTGACAGGACTTTTGGAAAACTCTTACAAGGCCGTGATGGCTTCTTCGGGAGAAATGAATTTAGGACTGTTTGGTTTGCACTGGTGATCACCACACACACAGGGAACATGAGTTCTTAACTATGAATCTTACACAAGTTGAGGATTACTCATATTGGCCCAGATCAGAATCTGTGGAAAATTAGTGATGTAGTGTTTCAGATTGAATTAAGGTTTTTGTTATTTCCCACTTGAAAAATGTGACTTTAGGCATTTTTTTGCAAGAAAAAGACAGTCTTCTTGGCTCCGACTGAATACCATTTTAGTCAATGAGCATGGATCAGCAACACAGGATCACGTTTCCATCAACATGTGGGTGGGATTCAAAATTGAGGAAAGGGAGCTGCACAAATGCATTTGAGGTTTTAATCAAACCCACAGTATTTTCAACAATGGTTCTGTGTGATTAATGAGCCCAGAACAATGCCAGGGTTTCAGCCACCATGCCGTCACAAAACAACTTAGCAAACAACATGCATTTATGAGAGTGGTTGTTTCTCAGCAACCAGAGAACCAAGGAACAGTCTGTTTGTCATGTAAAAAGTGTTATAATGTGGCCAGGCATGGTGGCTCACTACTGTAATCCCAGCACTTTGGGAGGCCAAAGCGGGTGGATCACCTGAGGTCAGGAGTTCAGGACCAGCCTTCAAGACCAGCCTGACCAACATGGTGAAACGGTGTCTCTACTAAAAATACAAATAAATTAGCTGGGCGTGGTGGTGCATGCCTGTAATCCCAGCTACGTGGGAGGCTGAGGCAGTAGGATTGCTTGAACCAGGGAGGCGGAGGTTGCAGTGAACTGAGATGGCACCATTGCACTCCAGCCTAGGCGACAAGAGTGAAACTCCAACTCAAAAAAAAAAAATTGTTGCAATATATTGAATACTTACCACACACAAGGCATTGTTCTAATCACTTTAAACAGATTATCTCACTCAGCCCTCGTAATGGTCTTACCGGTTATTACCACAATGTTACCACCTCCTACTGCGTAACTTTGGGAAAGTTACTTAACCTCTCATGCCTTGGTTTTTGTGAACCAGAGATAAGAACAGACAGATCTCAGGAGGCAGTGTGTACAAATGGCGTAGATCAGGAATAAGCCTCCAGGAGAAGGGACATTTGAGCAAGAATGTTAACCTTGCAGATATCAAAAAGAACAATGTTCCAGAAAAAGGCAGCAGCCAGTGCAAGACAGGACTGACCTGCCCAAGGACCCATGCTTTAGAGGCCTTCAGCTATCACAAGTGCACACACCAGAATAAATTCTCTGACACAATGCGTGGGTGTTCAGATGCGTTGAGAATCTGGGGCTCAGACCTGGTACACAACGCATTGAGAATCTGGGGCTCAGACCTGGTACAGTGAGACCGGAGCCCTAAACATCCGCTCTTCTAAGTAACTCCTCCAGAAACACTTCTCTGCATCTCTCACCCCCTGTCCTGGAAACTTGAGGTGACTGTTCCAAAGCCCAAAGGTTGGTCGTTGGGCCAACATCAGTGCCGAGAGAGTTAAGCAGCAGAAGCACGTAGGCAAGAGAAAAGATAAATTAATGAATTTACCAAATCCTCAACATAAATGCATAGACTCTTGCATAATGAATTGTTTTTCTTTTCCTAGTGGTGTTAAATGTCTATCTCTTTCCTTCTCTTCATATGCTAATTCTTGATTTGGAGGGTGTCACAAATTAGGTGGTATTTCCAACAGTTACAAATGGAGGTTGAGGAATATTTTGCAATATTAGACAATTCACCTGACTCAGGTTTACACATATTTAGGTGTAAACAAAGCATGCATGGACAACTGTAGCAATTCTTTCCATTGGCACATAAATGGATTTTGGATCTTAAGTTGCAAAATAATTCAATAGTTTTAAACATATTTATTGTGCTTTAATTAATATCCCAAACTAATACTTTTGGCTTTATGTAAATCATATTTATTTTAAACTGTATATCAATAATTGTATTTTATATTTTGCTCTATATCTTAATAGATAATTATAAATAATTTAAAACAAAAAACACTCATTTAGAAATGTGAAAAATCTTTTAATTTTTAATTATTTACATTTAATTTAAATTTTGAAGAGGCTATCTTAAAATTTTGTCTACTTTGACTATATTTACATTTTAATTTTAATGCTTAGATTACAACTGCCAACAGAACACAAGTTATGTAAAAATTGTTATAACAATAATGTTTCTGAAATGTGGGCCAAAAACATGGAATAAATACAAAATAATTTATGAATGTCTCTATAACTCATCCAAACATCTCCAGTCCATCAACAGCACACCAAGAGGTCAGAATAATTATGAAATGTCATCATCTTTAATATTTTCCAGACATTTGGTCACGTAAAACCATAGCTTTGTACATTTATTTTATGTATACATACTTATTTTTACATGTATTCTAGTCACTTTTTCCATGGCATTTTTAGTTCTGAGGTATATCTGTCAAGGTAGGAGGAGTGGAGAGGTTTTGCTGATTATCAAAGTTAACTTGGTTTGTAAATTCACATTCAGACACCTAGTGTGAGGCCTCCATTTGCTGTCTCCCAGGGATCCCCTGGGAGTTTGTGAAGGACCTGGCCTGAGACTGGGTGGTGAAGCCTGATCATAGAGGATGGGGAAGGCCCTCCTGGCAGGCTGCATGGGGTCAGCTGGCCCTCCCCACACCAGACTTGGTGCACAGCCCAGGTGCTGCAGTCTCCCAAGGGAGCTGCAGTCAGGACTCTGGCCCCAGCAGGTCGTGCTCTTAGGCACATCTGCAGGCCCCTCCGCATGAAGGCCCAACTACTGGGGCCTTCCCTGAGCATCCCTGCTGAGCTTCCTCATCAGGGAAGGGGGCTCTGGGGACACTTTTCTCTACTCTGACTCAGTACTCAGAGTTTTTTCTCTCTTAGTCCTTCCTCCTCTTCTTCACCCAGCTCCTCACTCCACAAAATCTCAGGAGCCTTTTGAGACAGGCTCCTTCTGCGTTGGTGGGTCTCCACATCTGTGCTGACCCACTGACCTGGTGCTGTCCTGTGGGGACAAATGGGACAGGAGGGAACCAGTGCTTTTCCAGTGTGGCCCTTGCTTATGCCATCGCACAGGGCAGCGAAAGGCTTGCCTGAGGCTCACTGCAGCTGGCTGTCTCTGCCGGCCACTTTGACACTTGTGAACTCTGCTCTCAGCTCAGCCAGCTCTTGATGCTCAAGAGGTCTTGGAGGTCCTGCAGGCCAGCGGTGCCCAACCTTTCTGGGACAAAGCACCCATTTCATGGCAGGCAATTTTTTCATGGATGGGGATGGATCATTTTGAGATGAAACTGTTCCAGCTCAGATCATCAGGCTTTAGATTCTCCTAAGGAGCACACAATCTGGATCCCTCGCACGCACAGTTCACAATAGACAGACTGTAATGCTGCCACAGATCCAACAGGAGGCAGAGCTCAGGCAGTCATGCTCAGCCACCTGTCGCTCACCTCTGCTGCACAGCCCGGTTCCTAACAGGCCACAGACTGATACAACGTAGGCCACTTGGAAGCTGATGAGCAAAGAAGTGACAGCATTTGACTTTTGTTATAAAAAGATGACTCTGGGTGCCATGTTGAGAGCACAAGGAACAGGAGGAGAAGTGGGGAGATGAGCTAGGAGGCTCCTGCAGTGCCCAGGGGAGCGGGAGGGAGGCTCTGAGGGAGGTGGTAGCCATGAGGCTTCAGGAGTTATTTTGAAGACAGATCAAAGTGACTTCCTGACAGATTGGATGTGGTATGTGTGAGACAGGAGTCAAGGGTGACTCCAAGGCATGTAGTGACTTCCCAACAAATGTTAGTTATTATGTCAATATCCTGATTTTGTGAATGGAGAAAAGGAGACAGAGAGGGTTCACATTGACGAATGAAGACAAGGTACCCAGTCCAGTAAGTGGGTCTCAAATCACAAGCATAACTACTCTGCTCCTAAACTGATTCATTGTTTATAAAATATTGTTTTGTAAGTATTTCCGAATAATATCTTGTAAATAAAACATTACAAAATTATGAAATTCCACAACTAACTTCATTCCTTGAAGATGTCTTAGTAGAATTTCAGCACAAACTGAGAGGTGATGCAGTCTCAAGTTTTCCATGTAACCAATATTCATAGAAAAACCTTCCCTGTGCCTTTATCCTTCTTTAGGATCTACATTCCCAAGTATCCAGAATTCACCCGTTTTTTCTGATGCCATTGTTCTTATTTGCTGATCTATTTAAATTAGTCCAGCTAAAGACTGTGGACATCTTCCTTCAGGGAATGTTAACAAAGGACATAGGAGTTGCCTTGGCCATACATCAACTTAAAACCACAGGTCAAATCAAAGGAGAAAATGTCTATCCTCTTACCCTCAGATGAAGTCAATAAATTCCATAGATGTTGCTTTAGGGTGCATAGCAGCTCCCAAATAAGTTCACATCTGATCCTCAGAACCTGCAAATGCTATCTTACACAGCGAAAAGGATTTTGCAGATGTGATTAAGTTAAGGGTTTTAAGAGGGGACGATTTTTCCTGGATTATCTGAGTGAGCCCAATGTAATCAAAATGGTTCTTATCAAAGGGGTGCGGGGGAGATTCAGAGTCAAAGGAAAAGGCAGAAGTAAAGCTTGAGAGTGGGTTGCTTTGTAGATGGAGGAAGGGGCCACAAGCCCAGGAACACAGGCAGCCACTAGACACTGAAGAAGGCAAGGAAATCGATTCTCCCCAAGCCTCCAGAAGGAACCAGCCTGCCGACACCTTGACCTCAGCCCAGTGCAACTGATTTTAAACTTTCAACCTCCAGAATTGTAGGAGAATAAATTTGTACTGTTTTAAGTCATTAAGTTTGTGGTAATTTGTTATAGCATCTGAAGAAAACTATTAGAGATGCAGAGAATGAAAACCATATTTTAAAAAATTGTATGTAGTCATTAATATGTACATTTGTTGAGCATCCATAGTCAAGATTTTTAAAAATATCTTTTTTGCCAATCTCTTCATTTGCTTTCATTTTGTGGAGATGAATAATGGTAGTGAATTCTGCACTTTGGACAGAACCCTATTTGTCACTATAGGCAGATGAGATCTGTATTACTTAAGGCACAGTGTAAGCTACTATGCCCCAAAGACTTTAAAATATAACAGGCTAACCAAGACAGGACTTCTCCCCTCTCTCACACAGCAGTCCAAAGGCAGCAACCAGTGCTGTTAGGGACCTTCTGCCAACCTCTACACCAGCTTCTAGAGTACAAAGCTGCTTTGAATTCACCATCATGTTTGAATTGCAGCTAAAGAGAAGGTGGAAGTTTCAAGGAGAGCAAATACCCATTCTTTGTAAGGTCATGATCTTTGGAGGTACTCATCATTTCTGTTCCTACCCCATTGGCCATAACTTAGTGAGATGGCCATAAGGGAGGCATGTGCCCTGCTAAATCCTGGGAATGCTGTTGCTAAAGGAAGAGGGGGGAGTTATGTTGCCAAAGCTCCATCCATCCTTGCTGCATCCTATGTACAGCAAGGGAGTGAAAAGCCTGGACTCTGAGGTCGGGCCTCCAGGGTTCAAATCCTCAGTCTCCCCTTCGCCATCTAGCATTCTGCAGTCACTGTTAGTTTTCATCTCTATAAACTAAACAGATTAGGACCATCTACCTAAAGCTGTGTTGTGAGGATTAAAAAAGAGTACTTAGAACAGTGCTTGGCACAAAGTAAGTACCTCAAACACATTAATTATTAATAAAATCAATCCACATATTGCAATCATTTAACATTTTAATAAATTATTTATTACTGATTCTTGTATTCAAATGTTTTTATTAAAATTATTAAAATCAGGAGACACTCATGAGAGTAAAAGTGGGTGCTTTTAATGATCATGCTGGGGCAACAAGCTTAAACCAGGACCCCTCAAGGCAAAATAGGGACATCTGGTAACCCTGGTTATACAGCACTGGGGTTAACGGACAAATAGCATCATCAAATCTACTTCCTGGATAACAAAGGAATTAAGAGAAGGAAGAAAAGAGACCATGATATTAAAGATATTTTGCAAGAATTGTGTTCCAAATACAAATTCCATCTTTTTAGAAATTCTTTACTAGTAAGTTTCTGGGGATGCCTTCCTCTTTTAACAAATGTTAGCGTCTCAGACTTTCTACTTTCTAGAAACTAGAGACCATCTCTAAGGTTGCCTGATTTTTTTTCAGTGAATTGATATGATTCCAGTCAAGAGAAACGAGATAAAAAGTAGATATCAGCAACAATGTTTCAGTACAGCCAGAATTCACAACTCATCTTCTATTTTCTGAATTAGAGAGTTTAGTATAGCATATAAGGCTGTGGCCCAAAGACAAATAATATGAGAAGATATTTAACCCCACTATGATGTGAAGAACTGAAAATCGAAACCGTAGGCAGGTACTTCCTTGGCCTACAGAATTGGCAAAAGTTTTATAAAAACTGAGAAAATCTAGTGTTGGTAAGATTTTCAGGAAATGAGAATGCTCACATATTGTGGGTGAGAAAGTAAGCCATTAAAATTTCGTAGAGGAACATGTAGACCCTCTGACTCCTCTATTACATTTCTAGGACTTTAAAGGGAAAAAAACAGATAAGTGAAAAAAGATGCATTAAGAGTTTTATTTATTATGGTGAGAGATTGGAACTAAGTCTCTAAGTAACTAACTCTCCTATGACAGAAAATTAAGTAAATTGCATTGCACCCATATATCAGAATACTATCTAGTATACAAGGAGACATTGACAACATACTGTTAATGAAAAAAAGAAGTTACAAAACAGCCGCAAGTGTAGTATAATTGCAGTTTTTAAAGGAACTCAGATGCAACCACTACATTAAACAAAACTGACTCATGGGATAAAATCACAGAGAAACTCTCTTCTTTTTTCTTTTACCTTGACATTTATTTAATAGAGCTAGATCTTTCTCTTTCCTTGAATAAAAACTGCATCAGACTTCATGACATCTCTAGTCACTCTTAAGTAACAGAAAAGCCTTAAGTTACTCCTAGGAAAAGAAGCCTCAATTATTAATGAACATGTTCAGTTTCAAGCTTGATTTAGAGTTAAATCTTTTCCCAGCATTCAAATCATATCTGAGGTTTGCTGCCTGGAAATGGAGTTGCATTTCATGTCTTTTCTCTGCTTCTTCTTGCCTTTGCTCCTACTCTCCCCAACCCCCTTGCTAACTTCTGATTCCCTGAGGGTTGGAGCATAGGATGGAGAAGCCTCGAGGTGGGGAGCAAACATCTCCTGACTGAGCCGCTAATAGCACAGTGGCCTAAGATCAGAATTCTCTGGGTTTGGCTTTGTTTTTCGGTGGCCCTTCTTGAGGACGTTTCTTAGAATGTGAAGTGGTTTTTGATTGTATCCTGGACACTGTGAGGATTGTGTTGTGGAGATTTTCATTCTTATGTCCCTTTATAATCCTCTGAAGAATGTTGATATTTTAGAGTAAGTCAATTAACCTATTTAGGTTTAGACAGAAAATTCTCTCTCTCCTTCTGCAGGCAATGGTCTTAATCTTATGCCAGCTTCCAAAACCTTAGTTATGCTACTCTGTGTCTGTTCATGCATGCTCAGATGTTAGCTTCAGATGTTAGCTTGAGACTTAGATGGTGTTAAATCTTAGGTCAGTTCTCAAAGCCTTTACAATGTTGCTTTGGTCTTTTGCATGTATATCATGGAGATGAGCCTGGAACTTATACAGGTTTCTATAGGGAAATAAGGAAACCCCTTCTCCAGCTATTTCTTCTGTAGGATTCCTCCCACATTCTCCAGACTTTGAAATCCATGTAGTATACTGTAATTTCATGTTTTAAGGAAATACTTGGAATTTAAGCCAATGACTTCTAAATAACCCATGGATTAAAGAGAAAATTCAAAGGAAAATTTAACGTAGACTATAAATTAAATGAAAATGAAAACACATATCAGAATTTGTGAGATGCAGCTAAAGCTGTGTTTGGAGGTAAATTTACAGCATTAAAATATTCATATTAAAAAAGAAACAGTTCTCAAGTCAATGATGTAAGCTTCTACCTTCTCAGAATAAGAGAAATAAATTAAACCTAAAGCAAGAAGAAGACAGAAAATAATAAAGATTAGAGCAGAAATCAATGAAGTTGAAAACATCAAAACAATCAAAATTAAAACCAAAGCTTGTACTGGGAAAACGTCAACCAAATTGCTAAGCATCTTGACAGACTAACCAAAAGAAAGAAAGCAAAAGTTGCTCATGTCAGAAATTAAGGAGGGACATCACCACAGACCATACAGATATTAAAACAGTAATAAGTGAATAATGTGGAAAACTTTATACTATAAACTGAACCACTTAAATGAAATGGACCAATGTTTTTAAAGACACAAACACATTACCAAAATTTATTTAAGATGAAATAGACATACCTGAATAGCCCTATGTCTATTACAGAATTTAAACATGCAGTTTAAAACGTCTTGTAAAAAAAGTCTTCCAACAAAGAAATCTCTATCTCTGAAAATCTTCATTGGGGAATTCTACCAAACATTTAAGGAAGACATCAAAGCAATTCTGCACAAATTCTTCAAAAAGATAGAAGAGAAGGCAACATTTAACAACTCATTTTATGAGGCCAGAATTTCACTGGTACAAAAAGAAAACCCAAGTTCATTATGAACATAGTGAACATAGATGCAAGAATGCTTAACAAAAATATCAGCAAATTAAAGCTAACATACATTACTTAAATAAAAATAATTAATAATAATAATGCATCATGGCCAAGTGTGGTTTATCCTGAGAATGCAAGACTGTTTACACACTTGAAAATCTAATGAAGTAATTCATGATATCAATAAACTGGGTAATAAAAAGTATTTAACTCTCTCAATAGATGCAGTAAAAGCTTTTGACAAAATTCAGTATCCACTCATGATAAAAACTCAGAGGAAACCAGGAATAAGAAGGAGCATTCCTAACCTAATAAAGAGAATCTAGAGAAAAAGCTTACAGCCAACATCATACTTGGTGGTAAAAGACTGAATGCTTTCTTCCTAAGATCAGGAGCAAGGCAAGATGTCTTCTTTCACCATTCCTGTTCAACATCATCCTGGAAGTTCGAGATAGAGTGATAAGCAAGAAGAAATGAGGTATATATAGATTGGAAAGAAAGAAATACAGCTGTCTATATTGACATGATTGTCTATGCAGAAAGTCCCAAGATGTCAACAACATAATAATCTTCTCATACTGATAAGTGAGTTTAGCAAAGTTGAGGATACAAAGTGCACATACAAAATGAATTCTAATTCTATATACTAGCAGTAAACTATTAGAAATCAAAACTTTTTTTAAGGTACCATTTACAGTAGTGCCAAAAAAATACAGAAGGTGCTTAGGCATAAGTTCAACAAAATATATGCAGGATTTGTATACTAAATACTAAGAACACAGATGAAAGAAATCAATCAAGAGCTAAAAAAATTGAAAGATTATACCATATTCATGGATTGGGAGACACTATTGTTGAGATGTGAAATCTTCCCAAACTCATTTAAAAATTCAATGCAATCCCATCAGAATCTCACAGGAATTTTTGCTTTTTATAAATTGGCAAACTGATTCTAAAATTTACATGGAAAGGCAAAAGAACTTGAATAGCCAAAATAATTTTGCAAAAAGAAGAAAAAAGCTGGACAACTCACATTACCTGATTTTCAGATTTACTATAAAGCTACAAAAACAAACAAAAAAGACAGTGTGGTATTAGCATAAAGATGGACCAATAGACTAGTGGAACAGAACAGAGAGGCCATAAATATACCTACATTTATATGATCAATTGATTTTCAACAAAGGTAAGTGAGTTCAGAAAGACTAGGTTTTTTTCAACAAATGGTCTTGCAACACCACTCATACGCAGGAAAAAAAATGACCTCAACTTATACTTCATACCTTAGAAAAAAATTAACTGAAAATGGATTATAGACCTATAAGTAAGAGACAAAATTATAAAACTTCTATAAGAAGACATAGAAGAAAGTCTTTGTAATTTCATAAATATTTCATCCAAGTCACAATCCGTGAAAGAAAAAATGTGATAAACTAGGCCTTAGCAAAATTAAAAACTTCTGCTATAGGCCGGGCGCAGTGGCTCACGCCTGTAATCTCAGGACTTTGGGAGGCCGAGGGGGGAAGATCACAAGGCCATCCTGGCTAACACGATGAAACCTCATCTCTACTAAAAATACAAAAAATTAGCCAGGCGTGCTGGTGGGCGCCTGTAGTCCCAGCTCTTCAGGAGGCTGAGGCAGGAGAATGGCTTGAACCCGGGAAGCGGAGCATGCAGTGAGCTGAGATCGTGCCATGCACTCCAGCCTGGGTGACAGAGTAAGACTCCGTCTCAAAAAAAAACAAAAACAAAAACAAAAACAAAAAACAAAAAACTTCTGCTATATACAAGACACTATTAAGGAATTAAAAAGATAAGCCACAAACTGGGATAAAATATATGTTGATCATATATCTGACAAAGAACTGGTTTCCAAACTATATTAAACACTTTTACAACTCAATAATAAGAAAACAAGGAACCCAATTAAAAGAAATGGGCAAAATATTTTAAAAAACACTTCACCAAAGACAATACCTGGATGGCAGATAAGCACAAAAGATGGTCAAAATCATTAATCATTAGGGAAATGAAAACTAAAACTGCAATGTGATACCACACCACATCTGTTAGAATGGCTAAATTTTAAAAAACAAACTGACAAATCCAGATGCTAGCAAGGATGCAGAAAAACTGACACTCTCATAAATTGCTGGTAAGAATGCAAAATAATACAGCCTCTTCGGAAAACAGTTTAGCAGTTTTTTACAAGGTTAAACATACATACACGTATCATGTGAAATTCCACTCTTGAATATTTACCAAGAGAAAAACTTATGTTCATACAAAATCCTGTAAGTGGGGGTTTATAGCTGCTTTAGTCATAGTCACTCAAAACTGAATACCACCCTAATGTCTCCCTCCTAGTGAATCCATCACCAAACTGTGGCATATTTGTGCAATGGAATAGTACTCAGGAATTAAAACAAATAAACTCTTGATGTATGCAACAATATGTAGGCATCTCAAATGCGTTATGCTTTTAAGAACAAAGGCAGATTTGAAAATCTATATGACTCAGAACTCAGAATGAAGGCAGACTTGAAAATCTGTATGATTCCTTTTACACAATATTCTGGAAAAGGGGAAGTCATAGAGACAGAAAACAGATCAGTGGTTGACAGGCTCAAGGGTAGGGAACAGGGATTTTGCAGGTGAGGTAACTTCTCTATTTAAATTTTAGCAGTAGTTACATGACTATGCATTTGTCAAAACCAGTACACCAAAAGAGTGAATTCTACTCTACATAAATTTTCAAAAGGAACTAAAAAGAAATAAATCCGCACTTAGAAGTGTTCCTGGTAGATCAGCTGGCAAGATGGCTGAATAGGAACAGCTCCAAGCTGCAGCTCCCAGTGAGATCGATGCAGAAGGTGGGTGATTTCTGCATTTCCAACTGAGGTACCCCTTTCATCTCATTGGGATTTGTTGGACAGTGGGTGCAGCCCACAGAGGGCAAGCCAAAGCAGGGTGGGGCACCACCTCACCTGGGAAGCACAAGGAGTTGGGGGATTTCCCTTCCCTAGCCAAGGGAAGCCGTGAGGGACCATGCTGTGAGGAACAGTGCACTCTGGCCCAGATACTGTGCTTTTCCCACAGTCTTTGCAACCCGCAGACCAAGAGATTCCCTCCAGTGCCTATGCCAGCAGGGCCCCGGGTTTCAAGCACAATACTGGGCAGCCATCTAGGCAGACACTGAGCTAACTGCAGGAGGTTTTTTTTCATACCCCAGTGACAGCTGGAATGCCAGTGAGACAGAACCATTCACTCCCCTGGAAAGGGGGCTGAAGCCAGGGAGCCAAGTGGTCTGGCTCAGTGGGTCTCACCCCCACAGAGCCCAGCAAGCTAAGGTACCCTGGCTTGAAATTCTCCCTGCCAGCACAGCAGTCTGAGGCCAACCTGGGATGCTCGAGCTTGGCTGGGGGAGTGGTGTCTGCCATTGGTGAGGCTTGAGTAGGTGATTTTACTCTCACAGTGTAAACAAAGTCGCCAGGAAGTTTGAACTGGGTAGAGCCCACCACAGCTCAGCAAGGTCGCTGAGGCCAGACTGCCTCTCTAGATTCCTCTTCTCAAGGCAGGGCATCTATGAAAAAAAGGCAGCAGCCCCAGTCAGGGACTTATAGATAAAACCCCCATCTCCCTGGGACAAAGCACCTGGGGGAAACGGTGGCTGTGGGTGCAGCTTCAGCAGACTTAAGCAACCCTGCCTGATGGCTCTGAAAAGAGCAGTGAATCTCCCAGCACAGTGTGAGTTCTGATAAGGGTCAGACTGCCTCCTCAAATGGGTCCCTGACCCCTGTGTATCCTGACGGGGAGACACCTCCCAGCAGGGGCCAACAGACACCTTATACAGAAGAACTCTGGCTGGCATCTGGCAGGTGCCCCTCTGGGATGAAGCTTCCAGAGGAAGGAATAGGCAGCAATCTTTGCCGTTCTGTAGCCTTCTCTGGTGATACCCAGGCAAACAGCAAACTCCAGCAGACCTGCGGAAAAGGGGCCTGACTCTTAGAAGGAAAATTAACAAACAGAAAGGAATAGTAGCAACATCAACGAAAAGGACGTCCACACCAAAACCCATCCGAAGGTCACCAACATCAAAGACCAAAGGTAGATAAATCCACGAAGATGGGGAGAAACCAGCTCAAAAAGGCTGAAAATTCCAAAACCCAAAATGCCTCTTCTCCTCCAAAGGATAACAACTCCTTGCCAGCAAGGGAACAAAACTGGACAGAGAATGAGTTTGACGAATTGACAGAAGTAGGCTTCAGAAGGTAGGTAATAACAAACTCCTCCAAGTTAGAGGAGCATGTTCTAACCCAATGCAAGGAAGTTAAGAACCTTGAAAAAAGGTTAGAGGAATTGCTAACTAGAATAACCTGTTCAGAGAAGAACATAAATGACCTGATGGAGCTGAAAAACACAGCACGAGAACTTCGTGAAGCATACACAAGTATCAATAGCCAAATCGACCAAGCGGAAGAAAAGATATCAGAAATTGAAGATCAACTTAATGAAATAAAGTAAGAAGACAAGATTAGCGAAAAAAGAATGAAAAGAAACAAACAAAGCCTCCAAGAAATATGGGACTATGTGAAAAAACTAAATCTAGGTTTGATTGGTATACCTGAAAGTGACAGGGAGAATGGAACCAAGTTGGAAAACACTCTGCAGGATATTATCCAGGAGAACTTCCTCAACCTAGAAAGACAGGCCAACATTCAAATTCAGGAAATACAGAGAACACCACAAAGATGTTCCTTGAGAAGAACGACCTCAAGACACATAATCGTCAAATTCACCCAGGTTGAAATGAAGGAAAAAATGTTAAGGGCAGCCAGAGAGAAAGGTAGGGTTACCTTTCTCTCAAAGGGAAGCCCATCAGACTAACAGCAGATCTCTTGGCAGAAACCCCACAATCCAGAAGAGAGTGGGGGCCAATATTCAACATTCTTAAAGAAAAGAATTTTCAACTCAGAATTTCATATCCCGCCAAAGTAAGCTTCATAAGCAAAGGAGAAATAAAATCCTTTACAGACAAGCAAATGCTGAGAGATTTTGTCACGACTGGGCCTGCCCTACAAGAGCTCCTGAAGGGAGCACTAAACATGGAAAGGAACAACCGGTACCAGCCACTGCAAAAACATTCCAAATTATAAAGACCATCAACACTATGAAGAAACTGCATCAACTAATGGGCAAAATAACCAGCTAGAATCATAATGACAGGATCAAATTCACACATTACAATATTAACCTTAAATGGAAATGGGCCAAATGACCCCAATTAAAAGACACAGACTGGCAAATTGGATAGAGTCAAGACCCATCAGTGTATTCAGGAGACCCATCTCATGTGCAAAGACACACATAGGCTCAAAATAAAGGGATGGAGGAATATTTACCAAGCAAATGGAGAGCAAAAAAAATGCAGGGGTTTCCAATCTTATTCTCTGATAAAACAGAATTTAAACCAACAAAGATCAAAAGAGACAAAGGAGGGCATTACATAATGGTAAAGGGATCAATGCAACAAGAAGAGCTAACTATCCTAAATATATATGCACCCAATACAGGAGCACCCAGATTCATAAAGCAAGTTCTTAGAGACCTACAAAGAGACTTAGACTCCCACACAATAATAATGGGAGATTTAAACACCCCACTGTCAATATTAGACAGATCAATGAGACAGAAAATTAACAAGGATATTCTTCAGGACTTGCACTCAGCTTTGGACCAGGCAGACCTAATAGACATCTATAGAACTCTTCACCCCAAATCAACAAAATGTACATTCTTCTCAGCACCACATCACACTTATTCTAAAATTGACCATATAATTGGAAGTAAAATACTACTCAGCAAATGCAAAATAATGGAAATCATAGCAAACAGTCTCTCAGACCACACTGTGATCAAATTAGAATTCAGGATTAAGAAACTCACTCAAACCACAAAACTACATGGAAACTGGACAACTTGCTCCTGAATGACTACTGGGTAAATAATGAAATGAAGGCAGAAATAAAGATGTTCTTTGAAACCAATGAGAACAAAGACACAATGTACCAGAATCTCTGGGACACATTTAAAGAAGTGTGTAGAGGGAAATTTATAGCACTGAATGCCCACAAGAGAAACCAGGAAAGATCTAAAATCGACACCCTAACATCACAATTAAAAGAACTTGAGAAGCAAGAGCAAACAAATTCAAAAGCTAGCAGAAGACAAGAAATAACTAAGATCAGAGCAGAACTGAAGGAGACAGAGACACAAAAAAAAACCTTCAAAAAATGAATGAACCCAGGAGCTAGTTTTTTGACAAGATCAACAAAATAAATAGACCAGTAGTCAGGCTAATAAAGAAGAAAAGAGAGAAGAATCAAATAGACGCAATAAAAAATGATAAAGGGGATATCACCATTGATCCCACAGAAATACAAACTACCATCAGAGAATACTATAAACACCTCTATGCAAATAAACTAGAAAATCTAGAAGAAATGGATAAATTCCTGGACACATACACCCTCCCAAGACTAAACCAGGATGATGGGGAGAAACCAGCGCAAAAAGACTGAAACCAGGAAGAAATCGAATCCCTGAATAGACCAATAACAAGTTCTGAAATTGAGGCAAAAATTAATAGCCTACCAACCCAAAAAATCCAAGACTGGATGGATTCACAGCCAAATTCTACCAGAGGTACAAGGAGGAGCTGGTACCATTCCTTCTGAAACTATTCCAAACAATAGAAAAAGAGGGACTCCTCACTAACTCATTTTTTGAGGCCAGCATCATCCTGATACCACAACCTGGCAGAGACACAACAAAAAAAGAAAACTTCAGGCCAATATCCCTGATGAACATAGATGCGAAAATCCTCAATAAAATACTGGCAAACCAAATCCAGCAACCACATCAAAAAGCTTATCTACCATGATCAAATCGGCTTCATCCCTGGGATGCAAGGCTGGTTCAACATACACAAATCAATCAATGTAATCCATCACATAAACAGAACCAGTGACAAAAACCACATGATTATCTCAATAGATGCAAAAAGGGCCTTCAACAAAATTCAACATCCTTTCATGCTAAAAACTCTTAATAAACTAGGTATTGATGGAAGGTATCTCAAAATAATAAGAGCTATTTATGACAAACCCACAGCCAATATCATACTGAATAGACAAAAACTGGAAGCATTCCCTTTGAAAACCGGCACAAGACAAGGATGCCCTCTCTCACCACTCCTATTCAACATAGTATTGGTTGTTCTGGCCAGGGCAATCAGCCAAGAAAAAGAAATAAAGTGTATTAAAATAGGAAGACAGGAAGTCAAATTGTCTCTGTTTGCAGATGACATGATTGTATATGTAGAAAACCCCATCATCTCAGTCCAAAATTTCCTTAAGTTGATAAGCAACTTCAGCAAAGTCTCAGGATACAAAATAAATGTGCAAAAATCATGAGTATTCCTAAACACCAATAACAGATAATCAGAGAGCCAAATCATGATTGAACTCCCATTCACAATTGCTACAAAGAGAATAAAATACCTAGGAATAAAACTTACAAGGGATGCGAAGGACCTCTTCAAGGAGAACTACAAGCCATTGCTCAAGGAAATAAGAGGAGGCACTAACAAACGGAAAAACATTCCATGCTAATGGATAGGAAGAATCAACATCTTGAAAATGGCCATACTGCCCAAAGTAATTTATAGAATCAATGCTATTCCTATCAAGCTATCCTTAACTTTCTTCACAGAATTGGAAAAAACTACTTTAAATTTCATATGGAACCAAAAAAGAGCCCACATAGCCAAGAGACTCCTTAGCAAAAAGAACAAAGCTGGAGGAATTACACTGCCTGACTTCAAACTATACTATTAGGCTACAGTAACCAAAACAGCATGGTACTGGTGCCAAAACAAATATATAGACCAATGGAACAGAACAGAGGCCTCAGAAATAACACCACACATCTACAACCATCTGATCTTTGACAAACCTGGCAAAAACAAGCAATGGGGAAAGGGTTCCCTATTTAATAAATGGTGTTGGGAAAACTGGCTAGCCATACAAAGAAAACTGAAACTGGATCCCTTCCTTACACCTTATACAAAAATTAACTCAAGGTGGATTAAAGACTTAAACATAAGACCTAAAACCATAAAAACCCTAGAAGAAAGCCTAAGCAATACCATTCAGGACAAAGGTGTGGGCAAAGACTTCATGACTAAAACACAAAAAGCAATGGCAAAAAAAGCCAAAATTGATAAATGGGATCTAATGAAACTAAAGAGCTTGTGCACAGCAAAAGAAACTATCATCAGAGTGAACAGGCAACCTACAGAATGGGAGAACATTTTTGCAATCTATCCATCTGACAAAGGGCTAATATGCAGAATCTACAAAGAACTTAAACAAATTTACAAGAAAAAATCAAACAATCCTATCAAAAAGTGGGCAAAGGATATGAACGACACTTCTCAAAAAAAGACATTTATGCAGCCAACAGAAACATGAAAAAATGCTCATCATCACTGGCCATCAGAGAAACGCAAATCAAAACCTCAATGTGATACCATCTCACACCAGTTAGAATGGCGATCATTAAAAAGTCAGGAAACAACAGATGCTGGAGAGGATGTGGAGAAATAGGAACACTTTTATACATTGGTGGGAGTGTAAATTAGTTCAACTATTGTGGAAGACAGTGTGGCAATTCCTCAGGGATCTAGAACTAGAAATACCATTTGACCCAGCAATCCCATTACTGGGTATATACCCAAAGGATTATAAATCATTCTACTATAAAGACACATGCACATGTGTGTTTATTATGGCACTGTTCACAATAGCAAAGACTTGGAACCAACTCAAATGCCCATCAATGATAGACTGGGTAAAGAAAATGTGGCAATATACACCATGGAATACTATGCAGCCATAAAAAAGGATGAGTTCATGTCCTTTGCAGGGACATGGATGAAGCTGGAAGCCATCATTCTCAGCAACCTAACACAAGAACAGAAAACCAAACATCACATGTTCTCACTCATAAGTGGGAGTTGAACAATGAGAACATGTGGACACAGTGGGGGAACATCACACACTGGAGCCTGTCAGGGGGTGGGGGGCTAGGGGAGGGATAGCATTAGGAGAAATACCTAATGTAGATGATGGGTTGATGGGTGCAGCAAACCACCAAGCCACGTGTATACCTATGTAACAAACCTGCACGTTCAGCACATGTACCCCAGAACTTAAAGTATAATAATAATAATAATAATGATAATAATAATAACAATAATAATAAAAGAAGTGTCCCTGGTATTTAGTAAGCACTTATGGAAATTTTCTATTATTGATGTATTGATGAATACATTAATACTATTTACCTTGTATTTCAGCTGTGAACCAGGATACAAACTATTTTCCAATTCAGTAATTACAAATTAACTCTGAAATATCCTGACTACAGATGAAGCCCTGAATTTTCACCAAGAAAATCTTCAGGGCTAGTGTTTTGAGAGCCCCCAGCCAAACTGAAATTTTAGTACCAGAGCAGCTGCCAACGGCTCCCTAGTGGAAAAGGAAGGGGGGCTGAGCGTGGGTATCTCCAGTGTGCCTTTCAAGGGATATTTTTTTTTTCCTGAAGGACTGTCTAGTCCCTAGTCATCTGACTTGAGACCGGGGGTCCCTTACATGGGAAACCCATTTATGCTGGCAGATGCCCTTGTGGCCATTGTGTGACCTGTGTCTAGTTTATGCCTGCCTGGCATTGCTGTGGCACTGGGAACTCAGCCTTGTGTTCTCCTTGGTGTTCAGAAAAAAAAAACTGACCTGGGGCAGCCCTTGGTTATTCAGACGGAGGGTACAAATTCAGTACACCTCCACAACGAAAAAAAAATTCGAAGATTCATGCAAGTCAAGAATGAAGAGTCAGGCAAAGAGAGAGTGACAACTAGCAGTACAGTAGTCCCCCCTTATCTCTGGGGAATAGGTTCCCAGACCCCTAGTGGATGCCTGAAACCATGGATGGTACCAAATCTATATATATATAAAGTTATATATATATATAGGTGTACATATATGTATATATATATACACATATATACAACCATATATATGTATGCACTATAGCTGTATGCATATGTATATAGGTGTATATATACATATATGTATATAGGTGTATATATACATATATGTATATAGGTGTATATATACATATATGTATATAGGTGTGTATATACATATATGTATATAGGTGTGTATATACATATCTGTATATAGGTGTGTATATACATATCTGTATATAGGTGTGTATATACATATATGTATATAGGTGTGTATATACATATATGTATATAGGTGTGTATATACATATATGTATATAGGTGTATATATACGTAAATGTATATAGGTGCATATATACGTATATGCATATAGGTGTATATATATGTATATGTATATAGGCATATATATGTATATAGGTGTGTATAGACATATATGCATATAGGTGTATATATACATATATATATAGGTGTATATATACCTATATGTATACACCATAGCTGTATGCATATGTATACATCTGTATATATACACACATATATACACCATATATGTGTATACATATGGTATATGTGTGTGTGTATATATATATGGTGTACATATGTGTGTATATACACATATATACACTATGTTTTTTCTATACATAAAAGCCTATGATAAAGTTTAATATATCAGGTAGGCACAGTAAGAGATTAGCAACAATAACTACTAATAAAACAGAACAATTTTTACCATACACTGTAATAAAAGTTAAGTGACTGTGCTCTCTCTCTCAAAATATCTTATAATGTACCACAGGTAACTGAAACTGCAGAAAGCATGACCTTTGGTAAGGAGGACTGCTGTATGTATAAGGGACTAGGGTTGGGGCCACGCTAAGCTCTCCAGTAAATGCCTTCAGGAAGCAGTGGGAATGCGGGGAGCCCAGTCTGCTGGCCGAGAGAGGTGCCTCTTTGTTTAATCTCTGGCCACCGGCTTGAGCCATTTGGTTGTGACGTAGAGCTGGAAACTGTGCCAAAAACACAGCTGAGCCCTGCTTTGGGTACAAGAGAGTTAAACCTGTTTTCAAAATGAAGGCAACAGAAAATTATAAAAATTCACTAAAACTGGTCAACAAGCTTTGTACCTCTCAGACCACCATTTGTTTCTCATTAACTAGAGCATTCTCAATGGATAGACAGTATTTTCTGATTCAGCATCAAAAAGAGAAAGGAGCTGCGGTCACCAAATAAATATTTCCTATACAACAGGCCAACCCAAAAATGTTGTAAATGGAATTTAGAGTCTCAAAGCAGCTGCACTTCACATGAAAATAGAACAATTGAGATGCCAGCACACAGAGAAACAAATAAACAAAAAGTATCCAACATTTAGGTCTACTTCCCCAATCTTATAGGAAAGTTCAGCTTTGCTAGCCCTGTGTTAATGTCGGCTGTGAACAACGAGATGGGCATGAGCCGGATGCACTCATCACCCCGTGGCACTCCCTGGCTCATGCGGTACCCTCAGTGTCTGCTGTGTTAAAGGAAGGATGGGTAAACGATGAGCCATGAAGAAAGCCCTTCAGGGCCAGGTGCAGTGGCTCATGCTTATAATCCCAGCACTTGGTAGCTGAGGCAGGTGGATCACCTGAGGTCGTGAGTTCAAGACCTTTCTACAGCAAAACTCTGATCATGTCAGTCAAAATTCTTCTCTGACTCACAGTGCCTACACAGTGCCGTCTAGCTCCTAGGCTCATGGGTTTCATGATGGGGCCCACTCCTGCACATTCGCCTTCACCCCAAGTACTCTAAGGAAAGCTGTAGCTCTGGCTGAACAGAGAGGCAGCATGGTGGAGTGGTTCTAAACCTGGACTCATCGCTAGACAGCTTGTTCAAGCTTGACCAGCCTGGCCAACATGGTGAAACCTCGTCTCTAATAAAAATACAAAAAATTAGCTGAGCATGGTGTCAAGCACCTGTAATCCCAGCTACTCGGGAGCTGAGGCCGGAGAATCGCCTGAACCCAGGAGGCAGAAGTTGCAGTGAGCCAAGATCGTGCCATTGCACTCCAGCCTGGGCAACAAGAGCGAAACTCCATCTCAAAAAAAAAAAAAAAAAAAAAAAGAGAAAGCTTCTGAAAATCCTCAAATATTGAGGGCACAAGTTTGGTTGCATCCATACTCCCAACATCACCTTAAATCTGACCTTGGGGCCCATGAAGACCTGCCCCTGAGTGAGGAGCTGGTGCTGCCATCACCTCACCCCAGGGAGCTCCTCACCCCAGGGAGCTCACACACATTCTTCCCTGAATGAACCTCAAACTTGGACCACAGCAGTACTAGCTCTCACATTAGACTTTCCACACCCGTCTTTAAATCCCCCTACCAAATTCACGTACTTTTCATCCTGACCCAAATCTATAGATTTCCAAACCTTCCAAGGAGGTGACAGTGGGGTGGCCTTATTAGGGTCTTGTTAGTTTGAGCAGATGGAATGCAAGCTATGCTGTCTAGGGCTGCAAGGTGGCCTTGGAGAGAAAGAAAGTACATCCACACTGAGGCCGGGAATGAGGGGGAAACGCAGAGCTCCTCCGGATCCAGGTCCCAGGAGTGGGTGCAGAGCGCAGCTAGGCAACAGCACCTCCCCCCGACCCCGATCAGCCCAGGTTGCGGAGGATAGCATGGATATCTTTTTCCCTAAGTTTCATTCAACATTTTAAAGTCAACAAATACCCAGCTAGGCAGCACTGAGTATACAATAGAGGCTGACCAAATCCTCGATGAATTGAACCACATGAGAACTTAGTTCTGAAGGGAGCCAAAATTTGTCAACTTAAACAAAAAGCCAGACCCCCTTGGGTAGAAAACACTGATTTCCTTGAAACTATATCATTTCTCCTCTATTCGGATCACATGTCAGGGGTCCCTGAGTGTAGAGGGTTAGTTCTTGTCAGGAATCAAAACTGAGACATTTGCAGTGAATACAGCAGCAGAGCACAGAGTTAGTGAGTAGGTTTGGACTTGACCGCAGGTGCTTTTCAACGAGAGAAAGGCCAAGAAGTCAGTGTTGACAGGGAAGGCAAATTCCATGGAGAAAAATGCCTTGACTGATTAGCAATGTGTGTCCCTGCTCAGGGAAAGAGGAGTGGAGCCCCAGGGCCGTATCTGCCATCTCTCTGGTGGAAACAGCAGCGGCCTGAAGTTCTCTTCCCAGGCCTATAACTAGCTCTGTGACTTCCCCTGGTTATTTCAGCTTTCTGGGTCTCAGTTTCCCTAATTATATACGACTGACAAGGCAAAATACCCTTTAAAGCTTTCTACCATCTCTAGGAAGAGAAGGGACTCTGAAGCCCTTTTCTTTTTAAATGAGCTCTCTAAAAATTGTTCTTGTGTTTGCTCACAGTATCACAATGTGCTAGGTGTAACTAACAATTGTGGGAAATGCATTATCAATTCCCAGATGTGGCGGATGCTTTTATTTTGTTCTTCCCAATCTGCTCTCTTCCTTTCTCCACTCTGCTCTGCTGCGGGGGCTGATCTATATCAGCCTCGTCCATCAGCTTCTTTGCCACCTGGCTTCCAGATGGATTTGACCAATGAGGACACTGGCAGAAAATAGGAGGGGGAGGGGAGAAGGGAAGGCCAGGAGGGGTGTGGGGCTGAGGAAGCCCAGGCTCCCTCACTGCAGGGCTGCCTCAGGCTGTTGCGGTCCCTTGAGTGAGATCATCATTTCTCTAAAACTGGACTTATCTGTAAGACTCTCCTAGATTCTGCCAACCACTATTTCCTCTGGCCCTTTGGGCTCCGTGGTATTCCTGTGGTACCTGTCCACGCCTGCATACATAGCTTCTGATAACCTGCGGGTCACATTTGGCAGACTTCCAAATGAGCCGCCTAGGGAAGGTCTTATGAATCACTGCTTACATCCTGTCCTTGCGTAGAGTCTTATCGTGAGTCCCTCAAATTGTTTCATGAGACATACTGATTAATATGCAGCCAACTAACGTTGAAAAAGACACATATTTGTTTCTGAATGATAAAGTTTTGCTGACTATCTTGCTCGTGAAGCATTTTAGCCTATATGTTGTCATCTGCAGCCAATGATTATAACCTATGCATCCTACCCTCCAATGGACAGCCCTGGTAAGAGGAGTCCCTCTTCCCTCTCCTAAACTTTCTTATAAAAACATTCCAACTTGTAACAGATCTGGGGACATGCCACTTTGTTGGTGTGTCTTCCTAGGTCAATTCTCACATTTGGTTTCGAATAAACCTTGATCAAATGGTTTCTGCCTCAATAGCCTTTATTTCGGTTGGCTCTCATTTATTAAATCTCCTTGAATTTCCCCCATGTGAATGGGACATCTGTTTACTGTTGGGCTGCTCATCTCCCATCACAGTGCCTTATGTAGTTAGTAAATGATAAATGTTTGCTTAATTTATGCATACAAGATCCATATCTCTTAGGTGGTTTTATTGTCTTTGTGGAAGTGTGACTAAGGTTGTGGAAAGCAAGGATAGAGAAGAGTCGTGGAGCAGAAACCAAGGTTTCTGAGTGAGAGCAAACATTCCAGGAGCAAACAGAAAGATGGGCACTCCCAGACCAGCTTGGCTCTTCCGGTGTCTCTCTTGCTCTCCAACCTTCTCCTGGTATCACTGTTGAAATCTTGGTTGGCATTACTAGAGGGAAGGATGGTGATTGATAGATAGATAGATAGATAGATAGATAGATAGATAGATAATAGATAGATAGATAGATAGATAGATAGATAATAGCTAGAGTAGATAGGTAGATGACAGGTAAATAGATAAAATAGGTGATAGATTAGATAGAAAAAGATAAGATAGATAGACAGATGATAGATAAGATAGATGATGGATTAGATAGATAAAATAGATAGATAAGATAAAGACCAGTTAGATAGACAGATAGATGATAGATACATAGAGTAGATAGGTGATAGATTAGATAGATAAGATAGATTAGACAGATAAATGGATAGATGATAGAGTAGATAGATGATAGATTAGATAGATAAGATAGATAAACAGATAGATAGATATAAAGATTAGATAGAGAGAGAGAATCTCTCCCCCTATCTCCTCCTACTGGGACATCCTATGGCCCCATCTGGAGTGTCCCCGTGGTCACCTTGCAGCATCATTCTTGTCTGATGAGCTGTGGCAGGGCAGCCTACATTTGCTCCTTCCCAAAGCTGCTTTTCTCAGAAAGGATAATAGAATAAGGTGTAACTTTCAAGCACTTTGAGGAGTCCTGGCCTGGCCAGTGCAAGGGGATGGCAAAAACATGAAAAACAAGCTAGAAGCAGAGGGAGAAAGCAAACAGTCAATATAGGGAGCCATCCTGATCCCTTTTCTGGCCACCCCTTCCTTAGCCTGAGCACAGATCCCCCCACTGCTGGTGTCAACCTGGATTCTGGAGGACTAGGGAAAGTAGGAGTCTTCTGGGGGCCACGATGGCTCAGAAACATTTGCGTGGTTTCTTTCCTCAACTGTCCCATTTTTTGCCCCAACTGCAAGTCTTCTTTCCAACAGAAAGAAAGAAACATAATAGCCTTGAGCTACCAGACTTTTATATTCCAGGTTCTACTTTACAATGGCATATAAAGTACTTTGGCTGTTGGGTGTCAAATTTCTAAATGGAAAAATTATAAAAAATGAAAAACATGATCACAGAACTGGAAACAAACTAACAGAAGTCTATTGTCAGACACTGGGGCATTTTTGCCTGTCGGCGGGACTTCCTGGAGAAAATGACCCTGGCCTCCTTCATTCTGTTCCCTGAACGGATGTAAGCAGGGCCAGCAGGCTGAACGAAGTAGCACACATAGAAGAAATGCAGTCAGGGAGGCGAGCAGCAGGTTGGTTAAGGATCCGTCCTTCCAACGAAGAGTCATGTATGGAGCACCTGCTATGGGCCAGGCTGGATTAGATGCTAGGGACAAGACAGTGAACAAACAGCCTGACCTCAGTCTTCATGATCTTTACAATTTAGTAGGCCGTAAAAATTGGTCTGGCAAAGTTTTAAAAATGATCAAAATAAAAGTTAAAAATAAAAGTTTTTCTATTAATTTTTATGTTTTCTAAAAGTTGCCAGCAGTTTTCTGTCACTGGAGATAGGTACACTTTGTTTCAGGAAAAATCACACATTCGAGTCACACAAATACATGGTAAGATCCCAGACACTGTTTGGGAGGGAGCTGAAGCCTGATTGGGCCACCTGTGGTGGGAGGTTCTTGTCCCTCCCCTGTCCTCTCCATGCCTGGAGCTTGAAGGTGGCTGATTGGTGGGGTGAACGGATTTGGATTGGATTCACCCTGTGGGTAAGACCCCCTCCCTTAGGTATCCAAGGCATAGCAACACAATGGAAAGTGGGCTAGTCCTGCTGAGTGCAGAGGTGAGGAAGTGAGCATTACTTTGTCATTGTTTTGAAAATTGCACCTGAGGTTTTTAAGTCCCAGTCATTTTTGGTGCTCCGGCCATAATCGCCTCCCTTCTCCCAGCCACACAGTGTCTGAGGCCTCTGCAGGAACCGAGCATTTGACGGTCCTCTTTGTTGTCTTCAGGGCCCACTTGCCTATGGTACTACTCATGTTCTACTCATGTTCATTCACTTTCACCACCTGACCCCTGACACACTGGCTGCATGTTTTCTGTCTGCTCCCACCTGGACACAGGCTCCATGAAGGCAGGGGCCCTGCGTATTTAGGCAAGGGCCCTGTGTATTTCTGTGCCACGGTATCTCAAAATGTGTCTGGCATATATTTTGGAGTCAGTTGACACTTGCTCGGTGAATTAGAGGAGTAACGTGTCACCAACTCTGTGTTCACTGCCGGAGCCTCCATGGACCCCTGAAGGAAGGCAGGCACCCCACCCTCCTGCTCGCACGACAAAGGGGTGGGGAGGAAGAATGGGGGTTGGGCAAGCCGAGAGCCTCATGGGCTCACCACAGCCATCTGCATTCCGCCCCATCCAAGAGAGGCAGGAAGGAGTGGTCTGCAGGGCCTCCCAGGAAGCCCAGCCTGGCATCCAGTGCGCAGACTTCGGGGAAAGGTCTCCTCGTCCACTGCTCCTCTCAAGTCTTACCTCAACCCCACAACAACCCCCAAAGCACTCACTTACTCCCACTTCCGCCCTTACACATTCTCCTCAGCGTGTTTAGGCTTTTGAAAGAAAAGTCTGAGGAGAAAGTGCCATTCAGGTACCATCTGTTTTCACCTCAACGCACCACATCTCCTTAAACAAGGGGTGAGAAGGCCCGGCTGCTCTTCCGGAGCGGGGAAGGGAAAAATCCAGGCAAGAGAAAGTTCAAGAGGACAAGCTGGTGAACGCTGCCAAGTGCTGCTGAAAGACCAAGACAGAACAGACTGCCCAGCAGCCACCGGATTCAGCTCCCATGGGTGACTGGGGACCTGGGAGAGTGAGGGTGTGAGGAGGTGGCCCTGGAAACCATGGCACAGTGGAGTGAGAAATGAATGGGATGTGGAGGAGAGTCAGAGCTAAAACAAAGGTGATGATTCCAGAAACTCAGATCAAAGTGGAGGACAGCGTGATAGGAGCTGAAGGGGCAGGAGTGATGGGGAGACTCGAGCACGACTGAATGTTGGGAGAGAATCTTTAAAGAGGGAGATGCTGAAGTCACAAGGGGTCAAAGTGTCTGAGTCTCCCATGGGGGCCAGGCACTCATCTTGGCCTGAGGGGGCGGCTTTCTGCAAGAAGGTGCAGGGATGAGCACAGATGCAGGTTCCACCGAGGAGAGCTACAATTTGGTGGCTCCAATTTGCTTTGCAAAGTGAGGTCATCTCCTGGAATTTAGAAGGGAAGTAAGGGATGGAGGAGAGGCTGACAGAGTAGAGTTGGAGGACGGGGGTACAGAGAGATAAATCCTGTGGAAACTACAGGGAGGTGGGGAATCAGAGAAGGGATGGCAGGAATTTAAGGCGTTCACAACACGTGAGGTGTTCCAGCAACATGGGACGATTCTATCCATGGAATCATTTTGTCATTGTGCCCAATCGACTAGGAACTCTTTCCTTGCCCAGATAGGCAAACCCATTCTAACCCCACTCCTCCTCACATTCTCAAATCCCCCACCCTCTCGAACTGACCGAGATATGTAGCTTGAACAGGTCAAAGGAGGAAAAATAAGTCAAAACTCATCTGGTAAAAGCTGGGAATTATCAACTATTATTAACAAAATGGTTATACTGGAGATGAACGATCCCTCGTGAAGAGCATGCCACTTCCTGAGACCGCCCCACAGGCCAGGGACTGACCAAATAGGAACTTGGCAACCCAGGATCCAACCACAAAACACAGAGCTCAGGTGTTCGGCACTGGGAGGTGATGGTGAAAATAAAGATAATTTAAGTAAGAGAAGAGGGAACAGACATCTGTTAAGTAGTTTGTGCTCATTTTTAAATTAGGACATAGCTTAAACTTTTTTCAAACATCAAGAAAATGCTAATCTGTGGGTACAAAAACTTTTTTCTTTTTTCTTTTTTCTTTTTTTTTTTTTTTTGAGATGGAGTCTTCCTCTGTCTCCCAGGCTGGAGTGCAGTGGCGCCATCTTGGCTCACTGCAACCTCCACCTCCTGGGTTTAAGTGATTCTCCTGCCTCAGCCACCCAAGTAGCTGGGATTACAGGCACGCGCCGCCATCCCCAGCTAATTTTTTTGTATTTTTAGTAGAGATGGGGTTTCACCATGCTGGCCAGGATAGTCTCGATCTCCTGACCTCATGATCCGCCCACCTCGGCTTCCCAAAGTTCTGGGATTACAGGTGTGAGCTACTACGCCCGGCTAGGTACAAAAACTGTTTTCTAAAGGACCAAACAGTAAATATTTTAGGGCTTGTGAACATCATGTGGCCCCTGTTGAACACTATTTAGCTGCTTTGCTTACAACCCTTTAAATAGGTTTAAAAAAATAAAAAATAAAAAATAAAAAACATCCTGAGCTCACAGGCCATAGAAACAAGCCAGGGGCCTCAAGTTGCAGGTTTAGACATTTCCAGTTATATTTAGTCTTTCAGGGACAGACATCTCACCGTTTCCCAAGGAGGCTCACTTGATAGTTGGATCCTTCTAAAATTCTTTGTCATATTGGGCCAAGTTTTGTTTTCCTGATTCCCACTTGTATCTACTTCTGACCTCAAGGGTTGGCAAACTGTCCTCTTCCTCGCAGGCTTTTTAAATAGATGAGATTTTCCCTCTTTAGGTAAACATTCCCACCAAGTTCTTCCTAACTTTATACGAAATGGCTTTCAAACTTCTTACTAACTTGAATGTCTCCTTGGCATCTCGCTGCAAATAGCCTTCCTAAAATGTGGCTTCCAGAATTTACACGGTACTGGAGATTTGGTTAATTTGGGCAGAATATTGATAATCAATCTTACCACCTATGCTCGGATGCATTGTTTTTGTCTTTGTTTTGGCAGCTCTTGTCACCTGGGAATTACAGTAATTTTCATCTAAAATTGCAAACATTTATTTTTAATAAAAGTTCAAATTTCTGTAATCAAATACAGCCTAAAGATGTCAGGCCGAGCTCAAAAATCGTTGCATGAGTGCATGCCAGTGAATTCTTTGTATTTCTGTGAAGTAAGCATAAACTCCTCTCAGGGGTGGCGAATCACAGAGGAGCAGTCACTTGTGTCTCTATGTTGAGCCCTAATGCCCACCTCTTCCAGTGGGGCCCCATAGCCAATACAGGATTGTTAGGCAGACCAAATGGCTCTTTTCTCATGCATTCTGAGTTATTTAGACCCAAGAAAACATTTGCAGGAAATGAGCAATCTGCTGGTGGATGCTGAAATGGTTTGGCTCTGTGTCCCCACCCAAATCTCATCTTGTAGCTCCCATGATTCCCACATGTTGTGGGAGGGACCCTGTGGGAGATTATTGAATCATGGGGCAAGCCTTTCCTGTGCTGTTCTCATGATAGTGAATGAGTCTCACGAGATCTGATGGTTTTAAAAATGGGAGTTTCCCCCCACAACCTCTCTTCTCTTGTCTGCAGTCATGTGAGATGTACCTTTCATCTTCTGCCATGATTGTGAGGCCTCCCCACATGTAAGTCCAATAAACCTCTTTCTTTTGTAAATTACCCAGTCTCAGGTATATCTTTATCAGCAGTGTGAAAACTGACTAATACAGATGCTGACACAGATATTTGGAGGGAGAGGAGATAAGGGAAGCAAGTAATGTGCTTATTAAGAAATTCAGTTATACTTAAAGATCTTATCTTTGGCTTGGCATTGCAAGCATATTTGAATGTGGATTAGTGTGAAAAATAGGCCATCTCCTTCTTGAAGTCCCTTTTTATGTATAAGAGACCCCAAAGCTGCTTAAAGATTCCTACTCTATTTTCCAAACTAAAACGTGGGTAACAGATGATCTGTCTCCCTAAGGAATTCTAGTACTTTTCCACGAGGTCAGAATGCTTGTATTTTCTTTACTGCTGTTGACTGTAGAAAGGAGATTGTAGAATATGAGGAAAATATCAGACATCATGGATCCGTCACAAAGACCCTGCAAAGTTACTTCTGTCTTTGTACATTTTACCTTCAAACCTACCAGACACATTAGGTTTCACCTCAATTCAGTGCTGGCACTGATAATAATCAACTCCAGGAGCGGGAACTGCATTCTGCAGTTGAATGGGTTGCATAGGGGTGCAGTCCAAAGGTCCCAGAAAAGCAATTGCCTCCAGCCCATTTCCACCATTGCTGCTCTTCTGCTGACAGCTTTGTGAAAGAAGATAAGCCCTTCAAGGCACTGTGCCACCTTAGGGACAGGGACCAGCCACGCTCATGGAAAGGACAGCATGTTTTAAAAATAATCAGAATGAGGGCTGGGCACGGTGGCTCACACCTGCAATCCCAGCACTTTGGGAGGCTGAGGCGGGCAGATCGCCTGAGGTCGGAAGTTCAAGACCGGCCTGACCAACATGGAGAAACCCCATCTCTACTAAAAATATAAAATTAGCCAGGTGTGGTGGTACATGCCTGTAATCCCAGCTACTCTGGAAGCTGAGGCAGGAGAATCGCTTGAACCCAGGAGGCGGAGGTTGCGATGAGCCAAGATCATGCCTTTGCACACCAGCCTGGGCAACAAGAGTGAAACTCCGTCTCAAAAAATAATAGTAATAATAATAATCAGAATGAAATATCTTTAAATAAACCCTCTTGTGCTACAGTCAAGAGAGGCAAGATGCTTCTATTTCAATGAGCAGATGTTGAGCTAAGAAGGAAAGACAAAGGGAATTCTTAAAAACAAGACTTTTAAATCATTTAGGATCTAAAATCTTTATCCATCTGGAACATACTGGATATGCCTCCATGGCGGCAACAAATATATTTTCCCCGTGGATGTGGAAAGATCGTCGCCTCAGGTGGAAAGCACTTGGTGTGCAGTGGTCAATGGTGTGGCCAGTTCTAGTACTGATACTGATGGTATCTCATCCTCCTCATCATTTCAGAGCCCCGCAGCACCCACAAAAAGAATGCATACCTTCCACTGTTGCTAGAGTGTGCATAGTATGTATCCCTGGATACTTCTAAAAGATGTTAATACACAATACTTTTGCCCAAAAATTCCCACACACATTTATCTGGTGAACAAGTACAAATTTAGCAATTTTAATCAATATTCTTGCAGACAAGTGTGGATATGTATATGCATATATACATATATATATCAAAATTGAGAATTTACAAATAAGATTTGATACATTTATTCTAGCAGTGGGTAAGTCCATAGAGTAAATTTCAAGTAGGATATATTTATTTTCTTTGGTGGTGTTTTTAATAATTCCTTTCTACTGCATACAAAGGGACCTGAAGCTTAAATTCAGTTAGTTTTGGAGAAATCCAAAATGAGAAAAACAGAAAGCATGTAGCATTCCATGAAGCAAGAACAGCGTGCATATGCTATTCCTGGAAATACTGAAGTGTCCGAATTTCATGCCTAAAAAGTCTGGAAATCACACTGAATCAGTTGCTGGTTTCTGATGTCTCTGGGATGTGCTATTACAAACAAACAAAAAAAAGTAGAGAAGCAAAGTTAACAGCAAAACTGAATCCTGTTCATTGTCCAGGCCAAGAAGTGGGACTGAGTTCCAGACTGAGATGACCAGAATGGCCAGTGTCCATCTATGACCTTCCTGGCACCTAGGGCAGCGGGGCTGAGCACGCTGGCTGTCTTTGCTCACAGCCCCTAGTGCGACTTAGTTGGTGGGGCTGGGCAGGGCAAGCTTGCAGCATGACGGTCCTGTGATTACCACTTTCCAGGGATGGAGACCCCACACTCGTACCAGCCCACATAGTAGTAGGGGGTTCCGAAGCCGATGTTCCCAAACCTGACAGGCTCCTGACGATACTGGCGATAGTAGCCTGGAAGGGCAACAGGAGAGGGGAAAAGCGTCAGAGGCCCCTGAACCAACAGGTAGAACTCATCCTTACAGCCTCCTTCAGACAGAAGGCCTCTGATAAGTTGTTCTTGTGACAAAACGCTACTTTCAAATAAACTGAACCATTTTTGTGTGTGGTTGCCATAGCCCTGGGGAAGGGCCAGGACCTCGGGCCCAGCCCCAACCCCAGCCTGGGGTGGGGTCTTCCCCACCTGTCTCTTATGCCTTTTGGGAAAGCCCAGCTGTAACTCAGGGGCCATGCTGGAGCTGGGGACCAGCTCAGGCCTCCTCCATAGGAACCCAGTGACTAAGTGTAAAGTATTTCTTTATCCCAAACAGATCTGTAGAGATCGTCCAGTCCCCACACATGTGTGACACAGCTAGGATGGCATGATCTCTCTCTCCCCATGGAAGAAGATAATTTTAGCCAGTTGCTAGTCAGCACTCACTACTGGGCAGGCCCTGACCTGGATGGATGACATTGAGCCAGATTCCTGCCCCATTCTTACAGAGCTCAGGGCCCCCAACTTACCTCTATCCTCCAAGGCTTAATTCCTGGACTCTGGGGTAGATTTTTAGACCTTTCAAGGAAATCTCTCAAAAAAAACCTGTAGCATTTCTGACCATTTCTCCCTTGAAGTAGGAGGGATGCTCCAACCTTCTAAAAATTTTTCTGGAAACTCAATAACTGCTCTCACACTCTTGGCCCTGTTTACTTTTGCCAAATAAATAGCTGCCTGCCCTTCCACCAGTGAGTGTGCTGAATACCCAGCAGCTCTGTTCAGGGCCAGTCCCATGACCACAGTCACAGGGACACCATGGAATATGGATAATGCAGGCACTAGTAACCCTGAGGGACTGTAAGACCCAGAAAAAAATGAAGAAAGGTGATATAGTTTGTAGATTTGTTGTAATAGTTAATTTTATGTGTCAACTGGACTAGGCTATATATCTGATCCAACATTAAATGTTTTTGTAAACTATTTCTTAGATGAGATTACCATTTATTATTGTATTTCTTTTCTTTATTTTGGAGATAAGATCTTGCTATGTTACCCAGTCTGTTGTCCTCTTGCAGTGGGGCCACAAAACCAAGACAGACTTGCAGGACAGACCAAATGGCTCTTTAACCAAAAGGCAGCCTAGACCTCTAGATCACTAGGTCACCTCTAGGTCACTGCAGCCTAGACCTCACCAGCTCAAGCAGTCCTCCCATCTCAGCCTCCTGGGTAGCTGGGACTACAGGCATGCACCACCACACCTGGATAATTTTTTTACTTTTTGTAGAGATGGGGTCTCACTATGTTGCCTAGGCTGGTCTCAAACTCCTGGGCTCAAGCAATCCTCCCACATCAGCCTCCCAAGGTGCTGGGATTACAGGTGTGAGCCACAGTGCCTGGCCAAGATTAACATCTAAATCACCAGACTGACTAGAGCAGGTGACCCTCCATATTGTGGGTGGGCCTTGTCCAATCATTCAAAGGCCTGAATAGAAAAAGACTGAGGTTCCCCTAACCAGAGGTAACTCTGCCTGCAAGTGGCCTTTGGATTTGAACTGCAACATCAGCTCTTCCCTGGATCTCCAACCTGACAACCTACCCTGCAGATTTTGGACTTCAGTTTCCACAATTGTGTGAGACGGTTCTTTAAAATAATAAGATAGATAGATAGATAGATAGATAGATAGATAGATAGATAGATAGATAGATAGACAGACAGACAGACAGACAGATAGGATAGATGGATGGATGGATGGATGGATGGATGGATGGATGGATGGATGGATGGATGGATGCATGGATGGATGGATAGATAGATAGATAGATAGATAGATAGATAGATAGATAGATAGATGTGAATAGGTAGATAATGGATGGATACCTACATACATACATACATACATACATAGACAGATGGATAGATATATGGATGGGCAGATGGATGGATACCTAGATAAACAAATGGATAGATAGATAGATAGATAGTTAGATAAATAGATAGGATAGATGGATGGATGGATAGATAGATAGATAGATAGATAGATAGATAGATGATAGATGGATAGATAGATAGATAGATAGATAGATAGATAGATAGATAGATATGAATAGGTAGATAATGGATGGATACATACATACATACATACATACATAGACAGATGGATAGATAGATGGATGGACAGATGGATGGATACCTAGATAAACAAATGGATAGATAGATAGATAGATAGATAGATAGATAGATAGATAGACAGATAGATAGATACCTAGAGGTGGGTGGATGGATGGATGGATGGATGGATGGATGGATGGATGGATAAATAGATACATGGATAGGTGGATAGATAGATTGAAGTATGGATAGATAGATGATGGATACAGAGATAGACAAGCAGATGAACAGATGGATGGATAGATAGTTATAAATATAAGGATAGACAGTATGGATAGATAGATAGATAGATAGATAGATAGATAGATAGATAGATGAATAGATAGATGAATAGATAGATACACACATACATAAGTAGATGTGTAGATAGATTAATAATAGATACATGGATGGATGATAGATAGATAGATAGATGGATGCATAAATGGATAGATAGATGGATGGATGGATAGATAGATGGATAGAGAGATGGATGGATACATACATACATACATAGATGGATAGATAGGTAGTTGAGTAGATAGATATAGATAGATGATAGAGAGAGAGAGACGGATAGATGGATGGGTGGATAGATAGAGAGAGAGATCCTATTGATTGTTTCTTTGGATGAGAGAACCTTGACTAATATGCTTATTTTACTCTTTTCTGTATTTTACTGTATTTTATTTTTTGAAAATGGGTAATTCATGTAGCTACCTACAGCATTTTTTCGAATCTAAAAATTTAGCAAATCAGAACATCTCATGTCTGGAAAATACCTGATCACTCAGAGCTGAGTGCATAATCAAAAGGGTGCTAGACTGTACTCAGTTGTTCTGTTTATTCATTTGGAGGCCGAGAGAGTTAGTAACATTAATTGTTAACCTTTGAGATTAGTGTATTTTGTCTTCACCTTATAATGCCACAATCAAATAGCTTATACGTTACCTCCTGAAACATATCACGGTGGGTCTGCATGTGTGTTTATCTTTGCCTTCTCTGTACCTTTGTTCATGCCGTTCCCCACCTCCTTGAGACTCACCCCCTCACCCATGCATAATAGAAGTATTTTGTTGATTCTTTATTTTATTTATTTTTATGACCTTAAGTGCTCCCAACATCCATCTTCGAATGACAAGGCAAAGGCAGACCTACTGTGGATTTTCCCCCTCTATTAATCCTTGTCTCCCACCTCCTAGGATAATATATCAGGCATTTGTTTGTATTACCTTGAATAGTAGGGAGGGCTTCTACATAGGACTGAGGCCCTGTTCTTCCATCAAGGTGTGAATCCACAAATTGGCAATGGTCTTCACCTCTTCCCCAGCTGTCTCCAATGCTGTAGAATGTATCTGCATGAAGGAATTGATTGAGTCCATGACTAGGTACAGAAAGTCACAACTGGTTTAGGAGTTTTTTTGCACAAGCTTTGGAGACTGTTTGAATTCAGCATATTACTTAAACTGTGTGTGCTGTATTTTTCATGTCTGAAAATGGTGATAATGGCACCAATCTCATAAAGGTTGTAAGAATTCAGCAAGATCAAAGTATGCTAAATACTTAATGAATGTCCAGTAAGTTGGAATTACAGCATTAACACTATAGGCAGTTTCGAGTAGACTTTTCTATTCCTTAGTTCTAAAAAAAAAAGGAATGATGAAAACTATGATAGTTGGAGAATACATCATGAAGTTACTATGAAAGGCAGGAAGGTCTATACAAATAGAAGAATCTATTTTCATGTGTAACTAGGAGGGGGCGGGCCTGTGGCATGAGACGCTGTCCATGGTCCTGAGCCATGGCTGCACAGTAGGACAAACTTGTTTCTCCCAATTCTGGGATATGACACATGGTTATGCAGCCTCTCCTAGGAATTCTGAAGCAGGGGAGGAAAAGGACAGTGATGGAAGAGAAAGAAAAGAGCAGAGAGAGAGAGAGAGACAGACCGTACTTGTTGGGAGAAGCATATACACAGAAATTGCTAGGGTTGGGGTCGAAGGAGGGACTTTGTTTTGATAGTTTTTAAATGATCACTACTAACAAGAAAAAGAAAAACAACAAAAAATGCCCAAAATATATTTTTGACCAACAACAAAATGTAGACCAGCTGAGGTAAAGTTTTAACAATGTATACACTGAAAAATTTAGAGTTGTGCAAGTTTAAAAATAAAAAACAAATTTGCTGTGTCGGTGGGTCAGTGAAAAGCCAGCTGAATAGAAATCGCATTAGGAAGTGTTAGCAGCTCAAAGCACTCGAATTATTCTTTGTTTTAATCTCCCACCATGATAAAAACAATGTGATTTTTATTAGGACACAGAACAAATATTACTGCTGATATATGTTCCACCATTTACATTTTTTCTCTGTAAAGTTGTGGCTGTGTCAGGGGCTGGAGAGGAAACTTTTCCTCAATTATTCCAGCTCACGCTCGTACTCATTATTATTGTATTAGTGGCAAAAAAAAAAAAAAAAAACCCTAGATTTCTAATAGAATTTTGGAATGACATAGCCAGTCACTATGTCATTCCTAAGACATAGTGAATTTTTCATTTGTTCATTTTTTATTTCTTTTTAGTAGAGATGGGTTTCACCATGTTGGCCAAGCTGGTCTTGAATTCCTGATCTCAAGTAATCCACCCACCTCGGCCTCCCAAAGTGCTGCGATTACAGGTGTGAGCCACTGTGCCCGGCCAACATAGTAAACCTTTTAAAATATTTTTGGGTTGCCAGTGTAAAAACTAGTATCCTCAAAGTAGAATCTGTAAAATTGGTTTGTATTAGAGGCAGAGTGAGCCATAGTCGTAGCTCCAGCCCTCATAAACATTCCGATGCACCTGTGGTGCCAAGTTTGTACTTGATAAATCAAAATGTTCCATACCTCCCATAGCCAACCATGCACAAAGACTTACCTTTCAGGTTGTCACTGAGGTAGATTTTATACCTCAGTGAATTACAAAGAACAACTCCCACGAACTTTCGATACCACGTGCGCTTCACATATTGCCGTCCATGGCAGTCCGTGTAGCTGGGATCATGTTTGAAAGCGAATGGGATCCAGATAGGCTCACCGCCTTGACAACACAAAACACACCTGCTAAGGGTAAGCACTCCACAGTGTGTCTTCTCACACAAAGTGCCAGGAAATTGCACTGACTTCCTGGGCCTTCCTTTCCTTACAGGGCTTTTTGTTTGTTTGTTTGTTTGTGTTGTTGTTTGTTTGTTTGTTTTTGATGGAGTCTCGCTCTGTCACCCAGGCTGGAGTGCAGTGGCACGATCTCGGCTCACTGCAACCTCCACCTCCCGGGTTCAAGGGATTATCCTGCCGCAGCCTCCTGAATAGCTGGGATTACAGGTGCACGCCACCACACCCGGCTAATTTTTGTATTTTTAGTAGAGACGGGGTTTCACCACATTGGTCAGGCTGGTCTCAAACTCCTGACCTCGCAATCCGCCCACCTTGGCCTCCCAAAGTGCTAGGATTACAGGAATGAGCCACCGCGCCCGGCCTTGCAGGGCTTTTTTGAGCAAAGTTTTCCCGCCCTCCTTCTCTTTCTTTGTGTTTTTTAGTACTAAAGTACATTTGGGCCGTTCCATTTACCTGAACGTATTTAAAGTATACACATTTCAATAAGGGATTCTCAGAGTTAAGAAGTCTTTAAACGGCAAGGAAAATAAGCTGTAATGGCAGATTTGGTCTTTTGGGGCATGCCATCCTGTCCCCAGGTCCCTCTGCATAGACTCCACTTCTTGCCACTCAGAAGACCTGATTTGCAGTCAAGCAACAAGGTTTTCTCAATTTCCTTGAAAAACAACGTAAAACTTGCTGTTTTACTTGTTGCACTTTGCTACCTTTTCAGTGATTTAAAATATTCAAATGGTCATGAAAATAAAGTATCTGTTTCATAGGACTGGCTACTCCATAGTGTTTTTTCATAGATGTTGATTGCTATGGCTCTATTTTAAAATTCCCAGGTCATTCTTTCCCACAGAGTAAAGAAGATCAGGATGACGAGTGCAAGGAAAGCATAGAAGTTGACAGAAAATTGTGAAAATGGTCCAGACTTTCTAATTGTGAGTAATCACAACAATCTCATATTCAATATTCAACTTGATTACCAGAATGTCCAGATTATCAAGAACATAAACTTACCTGGGGGCCTCACAACAAGCAGAGGATTATCTGTAGAATGAAAAAGAAATAATGGACTCTGTGCCATATTTCACAATCATGCAATTCTTTAAATGGTTAGTGTAACTGAAATAGCTAACCAAATTAGAATAAAGAAAAAGATAAGGTTTGATAGATGCCAACGTTTTCCTTGGTTTTATTTTCTAAACATTTCCTTTTGAGAAATACTGTTTTCTAGTTAGAGTGTGTTGCTATTTACCTAGAAGCTGTGGATCCCTGAAAATAGTAAGGTTTTGGTATTATGTATTACAAAATAATTCAGTACTCATTTAAAAAAATTGTCTACCTTTAGAAAATAGTGTGGTGGTTTCTTAAAAAGGTGAGCGTACACCTACTACAAAATCCATCCATTCCACTCAGTCATTTATCCAAGAGAAATGGAAACATATGTCCATCCAAACACTTCCACATAAATGTTTATAGCATCTTTGTTTGTAATAGTCAAAAAGTTGAAACAACACAAGTGTTTATCAACAGGTGATCTGACTAGGTAAACAAACTGTAGCACAGCCATACAAGGAAATACTGCTCACTAGTAAAACAGAGTGAACTACTGATACACACAATGTTTTGGATGAATCTCAAAATGATTATGCTAGGTGAGAGAAGCCAGTCAAAGGAGTTCATACTGTATGAGTCTACTGATACCCAAATCTAGAAAGTGCAAACTAATCTATAGTGACAGGAAGCAGATGAATGTTTGCCTATAAACTAGAGAGACAAGGACCCTGGGAAAGCTGCATTGCACAGTAGCAGGAGGAAACTGTCCAGCAGATGGATATGCTCACTATCTTGACAGTGACAATGGCTTCATGGGTATAAGCACAACTCAAAATACATTAAGATGTACACTTCAAGTAGGTGCAGGTTACTGTATGCCATTTATACCTCAACAAATGTAAAACCTGTCTCTATCTTAGCCCAAGTAACACCACTTAAGAGAATATGACACTAGCTTTTCAAGGAATTCTGCTTTAGAAAAAGTTCTTTTTTTGTTTGTTTGTTTGTTTGAGACGGAGTTTTGCTCTTGTTGCCCAGGCTGGAGTGCAATGGCACAATCTCGGCTCACTGCAACCTCCACCTCCTAGGTTCAAGTGATTCTCCTGCCTCAGCCTCCTGAGTAGCTGAGATTACAGGCATGCGCCATCATGCCTGGCTAATTTTTTATTTTTTATTTTATTTTTATTTTATCTTATTTTATTTTTAGATGGAGTCTCGCTCTGTCACCCAGGCTGGAGTGCAGTGGCACAATCTTGGCTCACTGCAAGCTCCGTCTCCCAGCTTCACGCCATTCTCCTGCCTCAGTCTCCCGAGTAGCTGGGACTACAGGCGCCCGCCACCACACCTGGCTAATTTTTTGTATTTTTAGTACAGACAGGATTTCACTGTGTTAGCCAGGATGGTCTCGATCTCATGACCTCGTGATCCGCCTGACTCGGCCTCCCAAAGTGCTGGGATTACAGGAGTGAGCCACCGTGGCCAGCCAAAAAAGTTCATTTTTATAAAATGCCACGAACTAGGTAAATCTGGACCATTCTTTTTTTATTTTTGAAAAAAATATCATACAGTAAATTGCTGTTTTAGGATATGTATCCTATGAATGTTCACGCCTGCATCAGTTCATGGAATCCTGCCAAAATCAACCTGCAAAATGTTTCCATCACCCCCAAATCTCCCTAGGCTGTGCTTTGTACAGACCATTTGTTCTGATGTCCTCTGCTATCCACAAAATAGAGGGAAACACCATGGCCATAAGTGTCAAATGCTTGCTTTGCTCCCCTGCTCTGAACTGAAGTTCAGCAGTCTGCCAAAAAAGTCCCAAATACCCCAGGGCAGGTGGAGTGAAACAAACAAAATGACACCAGCACAGACGACAAAACCCTGAACTCATGGCACAGCCTGTGTCACACACTACGTTGACTTTCTATATTAATTTTCCAATTGTTATGTTTGGCAAATGCCATAATTCACTGACTTTATCATTTGCCTGTTGCTCGCCTAGCCATTTTCAGCAGGTTATCACAAAATGAAGGAGAAACTTGAATAAACTGATGGAATAAAGGAAGATGACCAGAGCAAGTTAATTGTCCAATTTTCATGTGTGTGAGGCTCCTCTGGGAGCTCATTGAAAGTGTTTCCTGGAGAGATTCTTATTCAGAGGGTAGGGTGGGGCCTTGAATTTTCCTCACCCATCCCTTGGAGGCCATAAAGAATGAGTTAGGAGTTTTTCTTGGAGGAGAAGGTAGAAGACAGCTGTTTTATCAAAACTTTAGATTGCAGCTCCAGAAGTTACGTGTATATCACTTTTACTCTCAGAAAGATTTCAGATCAGAGTTTCTTGATAGCTTTTTGGATTTGAATTTTTTTAAATATTTTTTTCACATTGATTCTGATAGTTGCCAAGGTCCACTTTGTTTTTAGAAATGCAGTCATAATCACAGACACATCCCTTACTTAAGCAAATTAACCACAGATAATAGTTTTCTCTTGCTGTTTCCTAATTACTAACAGAAACATATTTCTTAAACAAACAGATGAAAACATGTTTGAGGTCCTTTGCCTACATTTCTGGTATAAAGCATATTCTTACAAAAGATTTTATGTTTTCATTTATTTTGACTGAGTAGATTTTTAAATCATTACACTTAAAAATATCTTCCAATGACCCATTTTCTGGGCTCAGACTGCATGTAGAAGGTAACCTAGCCAAATGGAAGCTGGGTGCAGGGCTGGCTCAGCTGGGTTGCTCTGAACTCAGCCTGGCTTCCTACATGGAAAAGTCTCTAGGCCAAGAACTGTCACAGTAGCTGGCTCTGCATGTGCTACATTAGACCATAGGTCATAGGAACTATGTTTTCAGAGACAAGGTCTCACTCTGTTACCCAAGCTGGAGGGCAGTGGCATGATCATGGCTCACTACAGCTCAACCTTCTGGGCTCAAACCATCCTCCCTTTTCAGCCTCCTGAGTAGCTGGGACTACAGACATGCACCACTAGGCCTGGCTAATTAAAAAAAATTTTTTTTTTGTAGAAACAGGACCTCCCTGTGTTGCTCAAGCTGGTCTTGAACTCCTGGTCTCAAGAGATCATCCCACCTTGGCTTCCCAAAGTGTTGGGATTACAGGCATGAGCCACCACCCCTGACCAGGAACATTTTCTTGAAGGGACTGAGAGCTCTGCCCACCAGCACCCCAAAATGCAAGGGCATGCTCTGAATGATACTGCTTATAAGACTGAATGATACTGTAATTAACCTCTCAATATTAATTAAAGATATATCTGCCTTCTACTAAAGGGGGAATCCAATGTCTTGGCTCATTGGAAAGGCAACTTCCTGTCAGCCACATGACATGTGTGTTCTTCAGGTGCTTGCAATAATTTTTTTAAAACTCTGCAACTAAATTTTGTACAGATAGAGTCAACTTTATCTTTCTCATGTTGTTGAAATCTAGATTTTTTCCTTTCATTGGAATTTGACCTTTCTGTTCTTCAGAGAGCCCGTGAAAACTACTTTTAATTTTATTATCCAAGTTTTAACCTAGCACAAAGCAAATGATGTTTACTTTAGAAACTGATATCCAACATGAGCTCATTAAATAGAAAAGTAAGGATTTATTCTATTGTAGCCATCATGCTAGATTATTTATTTCATTTTCTCGAAAAGTAAAACAAATCAGAATGTGAAGTCATTCATACCTGATTCGGTGACAAATGAGACCGAAGGGCTGATAGGTCCGTAGCCATGAGGATTTTGTGCTTGCACTTTAAAATAATACCTGAAGTTGGAAGAAGATATATTTTGAAAGAGACATGTATTTGATTTCTGTGTAACAAAACAGACTCCCAAACTACTGAACACCTGAACCGTGACAGGCTTTGAGTTCTACTTTTTACAAATGCATACAGCACTAGTGATTCTTCATGTCTTTTTCTGAACTTTCTCAGTTTTGAATAAATTCTCTAAATAATACAATTAACATAGCAGGGACACATGGCTAATGGCAGTAGAAGGGACATATTAGAACACAGGTTGCTTGCTGAGCACGCGTTCCTTTGCATCAGGACTGTCCCTGCTCTGCGCAGACTCGCCTGAGCTCATCCCTGGTGAGACGTTCCTCTAGCCCTGCTCTTGCTCAGGTTTAAGACTCTGGACTCCGCTTCAGTCCCACAGCCCAAGAGAGAGAGGGTGGTGGAGCAAAACACTACAAAGCAGAATTCAAATTATAACCTAATTATATCCCTGGAGTCCATGCAAAAGAGCAGGACGTTTGCTCCAGCAGCCACGCAACTTATGGTTGACAGGGAGAGGATGAACCTGGCTGGAGGCTGCCTTTTCAGTGAAGCTAACATGACAATGGTATATTGGGTGCATTGAGAAACACTGTGGTTGGCTCTGGAGCTGGGAAGGGACCACCTTAAAAGTCACTGAGTTACGAGCTTCTGCGCCTCAAGGAAAGAGAAACAAGTCCAAGAAGGGGAAGGGGGAAAGATCCGGAGAGAGAGGCTTTTCTGTAGGGCTAAATTTTGTCTTGGAACAGAGAATGTGCTGGAAAGCATGATGCCTGAGTCAACTAGCTCATCTGGAGAGAGACTGAGTCTCGAAGCATGTTATTTGCATTCTTACAAGCAAAAGAAAAAGAATGGTGGTTAGAGAAGTAATAAAGACCAACACCACATTTGTGTTCCACTATATCTTAATCTTTGTGCTTTCCTCACCTCTTGATTCTAGATATTTTATGTGCTTTTTTAGTGCTTAGCTACTTACAGATGAAGAGAGAGGTAAAGAATCCCTGGTGGCTCTGTCATTTTAGAGAGCTCATAAGGGACCTCTTATCTGGCTTTTGGCCAGTAAGAATGTCACACTTAAATGTTATAAAATTCTTTATTTGATTAAGTCAGGCACACAAATTCCATGTACTAATTAAAATGCACTACATTTTTAAAAAGCGAATTATTCCTATTCAGAGAGCAAAGGGTTATTAGGCCTATTGCACCAACAGCCTTGGCCTCAAGCCTTCTGAGCTGCTGGATCACCAAGGCAGTCTCTGGCCTCAGAACAGAGATACTTTACTTTGAGTTTGATTAAACAGAAAGCAAAGAAAAGCCATTGGGTAAAATTAGTCTTCCTAAGCCATTTGCATCTTATTTAGGAGTATTCTTTTTATTGTAATTTAAATAAAAAGATATGCACAATTAAGAACATATGAGTTTCCAAATCTCAATTCACTCAGCAGCTCATGTTTTCCCAGTTACATGTACTTTTATGCAGTGGTTGTGGAGTTATTTAAGGCAAAACTCTGCAGGCAGTTTGAGCAGTGGGTTTGGCATACATTTCCAGTCCTGGGCAAACTTTACAGATACTTTTTTTGAAAAGGAAATTAAAACATAAGGAAGGATGCATACTCAGGGGCTCCATGGGACACTTCTGCTGAGTAGTCAACGTCAAGGAGGGAAGTGCCTCTATGCCATCAAGGAGGTGGCAGAAGGGTGACTGACGGGCTGAGAACCACTATTCAGATGGATCTGTTTGTATCGATTTTGTTTTGACACTAAAGCCTAAATATTCTCCAAATCCACCTTCCCTGTTGACACAATGATTCTAGGCCTCCAGAAACTCACATGTGACCATTCCAAAGACATATTCCCATTAAAACCTCACCTAAGCTATCAAAGTAAATTTAAATATGCTGAGCTGAAAAACAATATGAAATTAAGCAAAAAGTAAAATTCCATTTTTAAAACCTACATGAAACTTTTTTGATGGGCTAAAGTATACATTTCATACTCTGAATAGTCTCTGCCTCAGCCAAGTAACAAAAGCAATCCATGCCTCGCCTTCTTATATAAGTTTCTGGCACCTTCTTTTGAACAGCCTCAATCATGACAAGTCTGTGTGTTTTAAGTATGGATTTAAAATATGCAGACTCCGAAGAGTTCTTTGGGACTCTGTCTGGTGACTAAGGTAGACAATGCTCACTTAAAGTCAAAAGCAAGATCCAATTGTAAATAACCAAAGCTCACTTTTATGCCCTGGCCCCTCTTTTGGGTAGACTGACTTCTGGTCTCCCCTGTATTGACTCAGAAGCTGGCTTCTCAAGAGAGCCCCCATGAAGACTGAGATGACGAAAGTGAATTCCCCAGATATGATCTGCATTCTAGTGACACAGGGGAAAATGAGTGTCCTTACATCACACTTGTACTTTCTTAGCTCTAAAATTTAGCAGCTGCTCAGAAGGGTTTTGAGGAAATGCAGGAGGAGCTGCCAGCGTCTCTACCAGAAGAGCACATAAGCAGGTGGGCACCTCAGGAGAGGAAGATTAGCAGCTGCTGCTCCTCCTCTGCCTCAAGGCACTGAGCGTGTGTGGGGCCAACCCAAGAGCCCCTGGCACTGTCTGTCCCGCCTCTCCTCACCCTTCCTCCCAATCGGCCTCCTTTATTTCCTAGGACACACACTTCTTTGAGACATCCTCTCTGCTGGGAGCACAGCCTTCTCTGCAGGATGACTGATTCTTATGGTTCAGATTTTACTTTCCCAGAGAACCTCATATGACTCCCCTCTCTATCCCCAAGCTCATAAAGAAAAAAAATCCCCCATTATATACTCTCAAAGCATGATGTACTTGGAGATGTACACCCACCAGGGGAGGTTTATATTTATGTTGTTTTTTAAAAAATCTGCCTCTTCTACCAGACTGTAAGCTCCTTGAGGGCAGGGCCATGTGTATTTTCCCCAGCCCAGCCCAGATGTTCCACCTTGCGCTCAGGAAGTGTGTAGTAAGGACTGACTGAATGAGCCATGCACATTCTCTAATACCTGTTGAAATAACAAGTAAACCATCGCCCTACATAACCCTCCTGACATGACTCAAAACTCAACATCAGTCTGGCAGCAGAAGTTGTGGAAAGAACGCTGGACTCGGCGAGTCAGGAGGCTGTGATTCAGATTCTGTTGTAAGTAGCTCTGTGGCAAGGCCTCTGGAAGGCCTCTTGGCTTTTTGATACTAGGGCTGTGCTGCAAAAGCATTGTCACTCTGCACTCGCCAAAAAAAAAAAAAAAAAAGACATTGACTCCATTTTCTCTAATTTTGTTGGTTTTGTTTTCTCTAATTGATTAAAAAAATAACTTGCCATTACTATTAGGGAAAAAGTTTTAAAAAAGTGCTTTCTCAGTTTCCTGGTTTACTACTTGCTTTTAATTTGCCAAATCCCAAAATTCATAACAATTTATGAAAGCTCAGCTCAAGCGGGCCCAAATGGCACATTAAAATGTCTTGAGGAAAATTCACAGCTCATTCAGTAGCCTTTCGGTGCCCACAGCTAGTGTCCAGATTCTACACCCTTTACCACATGCCTGTCTAATGAGGGCCATTTTGTTCCAACCTCCTCCATGTTCCTCGGCCTGTGTAGAAAATGAGAGGCCTTGGGTGCACCCTCACCTCACTTCGAGCTCTTTGCTAGGCAAATATGGTGGCTCCCCACAACAGCAGTCTGCTGGACCCATTTGTACCAGCTTGTGAGAGCCAGTCATTAAGTATTCAGGAAGTCTGCAAGCCCATGGTGGCTTAAAATTGGCCAAAATGGTAGTATTTACACCATAGAAATTGGCAAATGCTATCAACCAAGGAAGTTTTTTCCCAGAGAGCCAGTTTACCAGCACACCACTCTTGACCCTCAAGTGCTTGGTGCTTTCCCATGCTCACCCACCCAGGAGCTTTCCGAGGGTCATTACCACCAAAACCAGATGGCATACAAGGGGAATGAACAGTCACTGTCTTTGTGCTCCTGGGAACCAGTTTTGCCTATTTCATGCCAAGGGCAATAAACTCTGGCTTCCAAAATGATTCTCTGGCCAGCCACGCCTAGTCTACGAAGACATGCTTATAACCTCTACAAATGTGTAAAATGCATCTTTCTTGAATGATGTGAACTTCTATGTCACAGAGTTTGGGAACGAGTTCATTTAAGTGTTTAGTGATTGCAGCTCCATTTTCACATATGAAGGTCATGATGCCTAGTGCCACGATATTGGGACTAAAAATGGACCGATTCTTTCAACACAGATAACAACTTTTCTTTCCCTAATGGCAGGTAGTGTTTAGGTAAACAGGGAGGAAAATATAAGCACAGTAGCCTAACAATGACAATACATACAGTCATCTCTTCTAAGAAACTTATATGACATATGGTAAGCATGCATTGACATTCTATTAGAACCAAACAGGGTATTCAAAGAAATCACAAAAACATTTTGATTCCTCCCTTCATTTCCAACCAAAGCAAATCAGCAACCATGCACATGGATCTCATCTTTTCTAAATGACTGACACATCGTACCTCGTGTTGGGCTTTAGGTTCTCAATGGGCAAGTGAGTTACTGATGAAGCTTGAGTGGACCACTTGTTCCTGATGAAGTCTTCATAGGATGCACTGTAAACCAAGTAACCTGAAAATGGAAACAGGAAAAACCCAATGGACACCAAGGAACCAAGTCACACACAAGATGTAACCCACTGAGGACAGGTGTGAGGCAAAGCTGCAGATGCAGCTCCATGTGGGAACTACAGGAAGGAGGGCACGCGGCACTGTGGGACAGGATGGGATGTAACACTGGTACCTTCTGCTGAATCCAGATGGGGATGACAAAACTAAGACACTTCCTGATGCCTGCTGGCCCCCTACTTCTCTTGCTCATTCCCCAGCCTTCCCCATCGCCTCAGAACTAATCACGTCTCATCTTGATCACACAGAGAAAAACAAAAGTAGAAGAAAAAAGCAGTGCCCTCCACACATGTATTTAAGAACTTCCGGGTAAGATAGTACACCATTGCCCTGCACAGGAAACGAAGAATGTTGTTGGTGGATGCTGTGCATGTGTGCGGGGCTGAGAGACCCCACACGCCCAGGGGTCCCATGCCCACTTGGTGAAGGCTGTCCTGCGATTTCTCATTGCTGAGTATCTGTGCTGCCCTTGCCCTCACTGTCTAATCACAGCAGTGAGGCAGCTCTTCTTTCTATTGTCCAACCTGCTCTCTCTTATTTGCTAATAACAGACCTCAGCGGGTGAACCCTTGGCCCTGACACCTGCCCAGCCTTTACAACTGTCCCAGGAGGCAAAGTAAAGTTCATCCCACAGCTCAGCGCATCCCATATCCTAGGTCTTTTATGTGTACACAGAAGGAGAAAACATTTGTCAAGCACTTCCTTTGAGCCAAACATTATGCCAGCTAGGTACTCTCAATTGAATTTGACTTTGATTAATCCTCATGATCCTAGTATGTAGGTATTGCCTTCCTCATTTTGACACATGAGGAAACTGAGTATTAGCAATAGGTTAAATATCTTGTCTAAGTTCACAAGTATTGATTCATTAAACAAATATTTGTTGTGCAACTACTATTTGCCAGACATTATACTAAGTGCTGGAGATAAAGTAGTGACCAGAAGCTCATGAAGCCGCAGGGTGCACTGGGAAACAGAATGACACAGCTGAGTTGAGTGCTCTGCAGGACCAGTCCACGATGCTGTGAGAGGGTGTGTAGCGGGAGCTGGCCCACCATGGAGGACACAAAGAGCTTCTCTGGGGTCACAGAAAAGGAGTTGACATCTGAAGGATAAGAAGCAGATAAGCTGTGTGGTAGGAGGTGGGATGGATTCCAGGTAGTGGGAATCCTGGGCAAGACACTGAAGAGGGAGGACCCGGGAGAAGGCAGTGTGGCTGGAAACCATAAGTGGCAGGAATGGGTGGCATGAGCTGAAGTTGAAGCAGCACAGATGGGAAAACTAGGCAGCACCCTTGGGCCAAGCTAGGCTTTTGCTTTTCATCCTAAAAGAAAGGGAAAGACAGTTAAGACATTAAACCTATACAATTAGGTCTGCATATTCAACACATCTCTCCTGTGCAGAATGCCGAATGGATTGGGTGTGGGAGTGGAGATGTGGATGGGACAGTCTAGTTATACAGCTCTTACAGTAACCAGGTGAGAGATGGCAATAGCTTAGATGAGCACAGCATCTAATGGAGAGAAATAGATGGGTTCAAGAGGAATCCAGACAGCAACATTGACCAGATTTAATGATGAGTTGAATATAGAAGTGAGATAGAAGGAGACTTGAAGATGCTTCTAAGGCTTCAGGCTTGAGCAAATGTGTGGAAAGTGGGACAGTTCTCTGAAATGGGAAACACAGACAAGGGCCAGATTTGGGAATGGGAAGGATGGGAAGGATCATGAGTCTGATTTTTTTTTTTTTTTTTTTTTTTGAGACGAAGTCTTGCTCTGTTGCCCAGGCTGGAGTGCAGTGGCACTATCTCGGCTCATTGCAAGCTCCACCTCCCGGGTTCACACCATTCTCCTGCCTCAGCCTCCCGAGTAGCTGGGACTACAGGCACCCACCACCACGCCCAGCTAATTTTTTTGTATGTTTAGTAGAGACAGAGTTTCACCATGTTAGCCAGGATGAGTCTGATTTTTTATACACCAAGTCTGAGATGCTCTGGAGACATCCCAGTGATGACATCAAGTGATTTTACGATTTGCATCTGATTTTACTATTTGGGGCTCAGAGGAGAGGATGGCCTGGCCTTGAGATATAAATCAATGACTCATTTCTGAGATGAATTAAAACCATGTGCATGGTTGAGACTCTGAGGGGAGAGAAGACAGAGCAAGAGGAAAAGAGGCCCCAGGACCAAGCCTTGAGAAATTCCACCACTGAATGTTGTACAAGCCTGCAAGGAGATGAAGAGGTTGAGAGAGATCACACAAGTTAAGAAGAAGGAAAAGATCAATAACATCGAATGCACCTAAGAGGTGCACGTGATTTTATTTAGCACCCTATGATCACTGATTAGTGTCACACAACTAACAAATGGGCAAGCTGGGCCTGGAAGCCAGGTGAACTGGACCCTGGAGCCCTCCCCACACTGTTCCCTAGAGGAGAGTCATTGAACTTGGGAAGAGTTGCTGCCCTCCTCACGGCATTTCCCGTCTGGCACAGTGCAGTCAAGCCCTGCATATGCTTCCACTGGTGCTGCACACAATGGCCCACCCCAGAGGGGACGGAGGTCACACGTGTGCCACGGAAACCCAGCTTCCAATGGAGTTGGCAAAGCTTAGACTCTTGGACCTCTGGCTTCCATCAGAACCCTGCGTTTCCCATGTAAGGCACTGGTTTCTCGGCTGATCCTGTGTCTGGGTTTTGATAAGGTGCTTGCTGGGCACATCATAACTCCTGATCTCTCTGTTGTTCTCATCAAAACCAGTCCTGAAAGTGACTGATGAGCTGGTCCTGAAAAACTAAGAGGTCATCACGTTGGTGATTTCCTACAGAATCACTCCTAATAAAGTAATAACTTCATTCATTAGGAGTGATTTGGGAAAGCAACAGTTTGCAGGCAGGAATTCTAGGAGTTTCACACTGTTCGGGCACCACTTCATTACACATTGACTTGACTGCTTGTGAAAGAAAGAATGGCAGGTGAAAATGAGCAGAGCACACAACATCCATGTAGCCAGCAGGATTCAAATGCCCTGCAGGGGGCCCGATAATGTGATGCTTCATTTAAGTTTAGGATGTATTCACTTGGCTTCGTTGTTCTGCAGATGAAAGAGCCGGTGTTTGGTTCACTAATGGATGACGAGCTGCCGCTATTCTCTCTCTGAGCCTTGCGGAGTCTGGTGTTTTCCCCCACACCACAGGGTGTCATGTGCTGCAGTGTTCCACAGTAATCAGCTTGACAGGAGTTGGCACGGCTCTGTATTGGGAGTGCCTTATAAACACCTCATCCATATTATTTATGCTAGTGTCGTGAGTACTCATGATTAGGGCTCTGAGGTTTCGTTTCAGATGAGGTGCAGGGTGGGGCATGTGAGGACATGAAGGCTCTAGGGAGCTTTGAATGGCTTGGAATGCCTAGGCATGGGTGTTTCAGAAGCCCGACCTCTACAGGACAATACAGAAATCACATCTAAATTAAGTCTCAGAGACATTTGTTGGGAGTTCTCTGAAAGCTCCTTCTTCACTGCAAGAACCCTTGAGGCGTGTTTGGTGGGGCCAATACACTCTCATTCTGCAGCCAATGTTTCTTAGAAGCCCCTTGAATCAGGGCGCAGTGATATATTTATGTTAAGTAATATCTGTTATGCAAGAGGTCAAAAGCTAAACAGCTTAAAGTAAGGTTTTAAATTATTTTTCTGTATGCTTTCTTGCTTGCTTTTAAAAATTACCATTCACAGAAGTGTGTTCAATTAATAAAAAGATTTTCTGGATGTTTGATTACAAGCTTGCCTCCTTCCATTGATTGATTTGCATTCTATTTGGAACACCACAGACTTCACGGCGGTCCGTGTAGCACCTACCCAGGACTGCACTTTTAGTTCCACTAAAGACTCGAACCCCTTAATCCCAAACCCTCCCTGCATCCCACGCCCTTCAGTCTCACCTGGCAGAATACCCAGAAGCCTTCTTTTCTGTGTCCCTTATTCTAGCTTTTGCGCTGCTGTACAAATTCCACAAGAGAAGATGCTCTTTGGATATTCTTGGACACATTTTTTCATTGTAAGATATAATAGTGGGAACACCAAGACAAGCACTAGAAATTTTGAATTGTGCGAACTGCACTAGCACAATAATGGCAGAGAATGTCAAACTCTGACCTCTAATGCGACCGCTACCTCCCAGTCAGAGACACACACAGCCACAGCCATACTTCTTCCTCTTACACAGCTCAGAGGCCCAGAAAAAAAATTTGCAATTATTCACAGAAAATATCAATTCTCTTTCCATAAGAACTTAAATTTCAAGATGTATCTTCAAATATGTCCTTGGCAGAGTGAACTTAAACATCTCAGAGGCCAAGGAGGCTCAAGATCCTTGGGCATTTTTTCATCACCTCCTATTCCCACATAAGGAACTGAGAAGCACCCAGATTTGTCTGGAAGCACCCAACAGACGTGAAAGGAGAGAAAGAGGCAGAGGCACAAGCCCAGGGCTGACTCCAAAAAGGGACAAATGTGTGGCCCAGCGGGAGCTTATGGTCACGCTCACTGCAGGATCTGATCCTGCAAGGAGCTAGCTGGACCCCCTGGCCATTTGCAAGATTATAGGATGTTAGAGATGTAGTGATGTTTTGCATATGGGGAAATCAAGGCCCAGAAAGATGAAGTACTGAGCTCAAGATCATGCAAATCAATCTGGGACGCGGATTTAGGACTTCTGACTTCCATCCAGTAGTCCTTACCCTACCCCATGAGGCTTCCATTGTTGCCTATATTTCATCCAGTTGAAGGAAGACATCTATCCATCATCCCATTCATCCATCCAACCCATCCAACCCACTCATCCATGCATGCACCCATCCACTCATCCACCATTCTTTATTGTCCACATTTCCCACCTACAGATCATGGGAACTCTGATTTCTGCTTAGGACACACCTGTGACCACATCTCCTGGGGTGGCTTTGTCCCAGTCCACAATGACAAATGAGTGGCAACCTTCCACGGCCACCACGGTGATGTTGCGGGGAGCATGCTGGGGAGGCAGGTCACTCTTCTTCAGGTCATTGGGGATGATTTCATCCAGGCTGTCCACTTGGAAGTGATCCAGTGCATCAGTCAGAGAGCACGGGGCTGATGGGTCTTTATTTAGGTACGTCACGTAAGGAGCTGGAAAAGAACAGAGATAACCAATTGGATTGCTGGAGGCTTTTTCTGGAGGCAGAAACATAGCATCTGTTCCACAGAGTCAGACCCACCATTCGGTCTCTTCCTGCTGGACGGAGGCTCCATCAGCCTTGATGCCAAGCTCAGAAACACACCCCCAGCTCTCCTTGATGGATCCATGTGTTTGTGTCTTTCAATCTGGTAATTCCAAAAGATCCTATTGCCCCATGGACATCAATGACTATGCCCGCAAAGTGGTTTTGAGAGATCATGAAACTATAATTCAATGTAATATAAGCCTGCAGCTCGCTGCCATTCCTGTGCCCCACATTTGGAAAAGGGTGAGTCAGGCCCACCCAACACTTTACTAGCATTCTCTCAACACAGTTCATTTCCTTGACTATCTTGGGACCAGGAAAAAATCTATACTGATCAAGATATGCAGCCTTTAGCTTCAACCCTGGGTGGCCTTCCCTAGAGCTTCATAAACCACCACAACAATCTGGAGCATCTGTGCATAAGGCCCGGCCTGAACTACTGTCTACAACATTACTACTCAGTATAACAATAGCTACTCACATTTACAGATGGCTGAAGATTTTTCTACATACTTTATTTCAGGGGATACATGGTCCTGGGAGTAAGGCAGGATATGAACCGATGGCCTCATGTTACCATCTCGCCTGCCAACGCTGAGAGTACCCACTATGCAAGGATCAGATAGCAGGCTGTCACCCCCAGCCCTTAACTCTTTCTATTATATCCCACTAAATTAGAAATGCCAAGGACTTGGGATTGGGGCTTTATATATGCAAAACTCTCAAGTGATGTCCAGTAACAATGTCTGGCAATTTCTGAAGATTCCACTGTATCTTTTGGTGCTAGGTTGTCATTCTCATTGGCTATTTGGACTGAATGCAGTTTTTAGTTTCTCTATTTGACTTTTGGGCAAATAATGAAACTAAGGCAGAAGTCAAGAAGTTCTTTGTAACTAATGAGAACAAAGATACAGAGTCCCTGGGACACAGCTAAGGCAGTGTTTTCCAAAAATTAGTCTGAAGCTAGGCCTTTAGAACTTGTCCATGGGTCTTATCAGGAAGTTTGGGGAGTGGGCTCCTATGCTTTAGAGAGTTGTAGACTTATGAAAAGAGCCAGACAATAGTAAGCCTTTAGCGTTTAGAGGAGTTCTGTGGAACAGCTAATAATACCACAGAAAGCATTTCAATTCCCGTCATGGAACTGCCGGGAGAGAAGTCAGCGCATGTGGTAAACGCAGCCTGGCAGCTGCATGCCAGAGACCCGTGTTAGTGTCTGCCTCAGGAACGCCACCTCAAATTAATATTCTTGTTCTTCAAGTACGTGTGGTTTAGACACTCAGTCACTACATCTTGGCTAGCAAGAGCTGTTCTCTGCTCATGGCAGAACAGTTGTTTTGGAAACAGAAAAGTGTGATATTAGTTTAAGCTGTTGCTTGTCTCCACTTAGTAATATATTAATCCAGCTGTCTCATTAATGAGGTTCATTAAGGGCATGGGAAAAGAAGACTTGCAAGACTTAATGCAGTTTAGTTTCACAGAATTTCCTATTGAAACTGTTTTAATTACTGAGAAAGAAGAGTAAAATGAATTTCTAGATCCCAAATCCTTGAAGCTAATGAAAGTGATAGGAAATAACTAAAGAAAAAAGCTTCCCCTTCATGACATTATAGGCACTAGTGGCTCAATTCAGTAAGCGGCTAACCTTTTAGGAAGAATTTAACAGACAGTACACACACAAGGCCCAGTGGTAAGTCTTGTCGTAGAAAAACTGGCTACAATAAAAACACTCATGTTCCCTGGTCCAGATGGTTTTTAAGTGTTTCTTACTCTTAGTCTATGCAAGGCAGTCTCTCTCAGCTCTCTCTGTTGGACACCAAATCCTCCCCTCTTCTGATTTTGGCAGAAAGCAAAATAATACATATCTACATAAGACTGACTCACTCAATTATCCCCAGTGGAAACTTCATTCTGGAAAAACTTCTCAAAATGCACTGCCTTGGCGAGGCCAAAAGATTAGTAATGTTTTTCTTCAAAGACCACAAGTTAAAAACCCATGTTTCTCTGATTAAGGACATTATATTTACCAACAAATCGTTTCCTTCCAGCCAGATCAAATTCTTCTTCAGGAAAGGAACTGATGGCGCCTTCCTCTGGGATCACCCTCGGTGTGGTAGCAGTGGTCGAAGGCTCAGTGGTGGTTGGTGGCCTTGACGTCTCAAATTCATAATCTGAAATGATATGAAGGCTCTGTAATTGGGCACTGCCAGAAAAGGAGCACTGTCTATAGTCAAATGATACCTTCTTACATTCAACTGTAGGCTGAAACCCAGACAGACAGACAGACACACACACACACACACCCTAAAATAAATGCTATGCCCAAACGTAATTTGTTTCTACTAAAATACTATTTCTTCCCATTTCTGTCCCTGCAGAAAAGAAGCTGCAGACAGAAGAAAGAAAGGGCAAAAAGAAACACATATGACCAGAAAAATGGGGTTTTAGACTCAGAGCTGGAGAGAACCTTAGAATCCATCCACTGTAGCCTTGTAGCTCATGGCACTGGCCCAAAGCCATGCTCTACCTGCATAATGTTCCCTTTTAGAGAATAAAAGGTAACATCAAAAAATAAACTTGAAGTTTTTTCTTAAAAATTTTTTTTTGGCCAGGTGTGGTGGCTCACACCTGTAATCCCAGCACTTTGGGAGGCCGAGGCAGGCGGATCACAAGTTCAGGAGATCAAGACCATCCTGGCCAACATGGTGAAAGCCCGTCTCCACTAAAAATACAAAAATTAGCTGGGCATGGTGGCGCACACCTGTAGTCCCAGCTACTCAGGAGGCTGAGGCAAAAGAATCACTTGAACCCAGGAGGCAGAGGTTGCCGTGAGCCAAGATCACGCCACCGCACTCCAGCCTGGAGACAGAGCGAGACTCCATCTCAAAAAAAAAAAAATTCTTTTTTCTCCCATGTATGAACTTTTTCTGGGCATGGGGGGTGGGATTAATCCTGCCAAGACAACTAATCCTTTAACATTTGAAAAAGAAAATAAAACTGCCCCTTTTTCAAACTGTTCAAAGATAAGAAAGATGCTTAGTATTTTCAAAGGTGCTAAAAAAATCTTCGTTTGCTTTCTAACATCTGCTGTTTTTCTTTTAAGTCAGTTTTTGTTTGAAAACCTTGGGATTAAACCACTACATCGAGCTTTATTATGAATAAATAACACATCAAAGGTGACATTGTTTGCACAGTTGTGATTTAAGACAATTAGAGCTATGAATAATTGCAGAAAAGGTGGACCTCAAAAGTGAGAATCCTGAGCCCTGGTGTCAAAGGCCGGCACTGGGTGTGGACAAGATTCCTTTAAGAACTTCTTCAACTGCAGAGGCAACTTCCAAATCACACAAAACAATCACAAGGTCCTAAGTGTAATAATACCACTAGTTACCACTTATTGAATGACTCTCCCAGATGCTGTCCAAGGCACTTTGTATTCTTAACCTTAAAAAAAAAGTGTTTTTTTTGTTTGAAATGGGGTGTTGCTCTCTCACCCAGGCTGGAGTGCAGTGGTGCCATCATAGCTCGAACTCCTGGGCTGAAAACAATCCACCTGTCTCAGCCTCTCAAGTAGCTGGACCTACAGGTGTGTGCTCCCATACCTGGCTAATTTTTTAATTTTTTGTAGAGATAGGGTCTTGTTATGTTGTCCAGGCTGCTTTTGAACTCCTGGGCTCAAGTTATCCTCCCTCCTTGACCTCTCAAAGTGTTAGGATTACAGGCTTGAGCCACTGCGGCCGGCCTCTGATCCTAATCTTACAAACCTACCCTTGAAAAGATTCTATGATAAGAAATCAACAGATCTAAGCATCACATATTTTATGTAATTAGAAAAGGAGAGAAAAGAAAGGAATAAGAAAGAGAAGAGCCAAGTAAGGAAGTTGGACTTGGTTAAACAAGTAAGTTTTATAAATAAAGGTTGAAGGGGAGCCCAGATGGATAACTCCAGAATTCCTTGGGTCCAAGGAGGGTGGGGAGGGAGGGAACGGGGAGCACAGGGACCAGATAGGAAGCTGCATCTACGTGTTAAGCACACTGTTTTTCTTAGATCAAATATGCATTTGGGAGTGACAAGGAAGCGTGGGGTACAACCACCCTTCCCTAAGCCAGCCCTCGGCATTGCCACCGGCCCAAAGCTCTAAAGGAAACTTCCATCAAGATCATCCACTCAATAGTTACAATCAGATCCTTTGATTAGGAAAGAAAGTGTGCAAATAATTTTTCAAAAGCCAGTTTGTACCTTCATCATATATAACGTAGGCCTCTTCCGTAGGTACTGCAGTGTCAGTCTCCAAGCCTGAGAACTCATCTAGTGAGGACAGAGAAAAGGACCAGTCATCCAGCGCTCCTTCTCCAGGGTTCTCTCAGAAGCAGGCCCCAGAGCGTGACAATTCATTCACCTCAAGCAGGTCATGAAAACAAGTCCCCAAGGCCAGGGTCTCCATAATTTTTTCAGGAGGAAAATCATCAAAGCACTGAAATGGAACCCAGACTTTCTCTCCTTTGGGCCCAGGAAAGGGCGATACAAATGCCTGCCCCATTAGGAGCAAACACCCCACTCCACGTTCCCAGACTCCTCAGCACCACCAAGCTCTCTCTCACCTCCCTCCCACCACCTCAGCCCACTCGCCCGCATGCCTGCAGGGCTCTGATGCTGAGGGAAGGCCCCTGGCCCCTCATGCCACAGCAGGCGCTCTCAGGAAGCAGTCACGAGAGACAGAAGAGAGTGGGCGGTTGGTGCTCAGGATGGTGACAAAAAGCCCCTCACATGTGAACTCCCCTGTTCATCAGTCTTCATTCCTCCACCTCCTCCATCTTGCTTCTGGAATATTCTAGAAGAGGGTAATTTCCTACCTCTTCTACATCCCAACTTGGCAAACTCTACCAATGAGAGTTCCTTGTGCTTCTCCACTTCCTACTGAGTTCCCACCCACTCTCACTGACTCAGGAGATAAATCAGATTTCTTAATTTGCATAGGAAATTTGGAAACATATGCCAATCATTGCAAATTTCCCTTTACAGATTGGGCTGTACTAACCAATAGATCTATTTTGACTACAGAATTATACTTTAAATGTAATATAAAATTTCAGATGTGATTTTTGGAAAAGCCAGGAAACCCTGGTTAGAAGAACTATTAAAATTACCATAATGACGCCGGGCACGGTGGCTCACGCCTGTAATCCCAGCACTTTGGGAGGCCGAGGCGGGCGGATCACAAGGTCAGGAGATCGAGACCATCCTGGCTAACCTGGTGAAACCCCGTCTCTACTAAAAAAATACAAAAAAAAAATTAGCCGGGCGTCGTGGTGGGCGCCTATAGTCCCAGCTACTCGGGAGGCTGAGGCAGGAGAATGGCGTGAACCCGGGAGGTGGAGCTTGCAGTGAGCCGAGATCAAGCCACTGCACTCCAGCCTGGGTGACAGAGTGAGACTCCGTCTCAAAAAAAAAAAAAAAAAAAAAAAATTACCATAATGACTAAACTGATATTATGAGCATAAGTAACATATGAGTGATTTAAGAAAGGTGAGTGATTTAAGCATAAAAGGCATCTTCACCTCCATTATCAGGGTAGTTTAAGCAGAAGTCTTTTGGGAAAGATGTGATGGAATTGATTATACTATTTCTCTACTTGGGAGATACAGATGTAGCTGTAAAAAGGAGAACATCTCACTGTAGCTGATAAAATCTTGAGGCAAAAGGTTTTATAGCTAAAAAAAAAATTGTAGGAATTCCTTTCCTCCCTTTGACCTGAAGCCCACAGCAATTAAATAGAACTCTCTAAACTTAATGCACCCTCAAAAGGGGGCAAGGTGGGGAAAACAGGAAGAAGTGACTAGTGGATGATTTCCCAGATGTCTTCTGTGTATCAGCCACTTTTATGTATATATAATTTCACAACAAACGCTTGAGATACATTGAGCTTATAAATACCCACTTCTCAGCTGATATGGTTTGGCTGTATCCCCACCCAAATCTCATCTTAAATTATAATCCCCATGATACCTACATGTCCAGGGAGGGATCTGGTGGAAAGTGATTGGATTATGGGGGCAGTTTCCCCCATGCTGTTCTCATGATAGTGAGTAAATTCTCACGAGATCTGATGGTTTTATAAATGGTAGTTTTTCCTGCACACTTGCTCTCTCGTTCTCGCTCTCACTCTCTCTCTCTTGCCTGCCACCATGTAAGATGTGCCTGCTTTCCCTTCTGCCATGATTGTAAGTTTCCTGAGGTCTCCCCAGCCATTTAGAACTGTGAGTCAATTAAACCTCTTTCCTTTATAAATTATCCAGTCTCAGGTAGTATCTTTATAGCAGTATGAAAACGGACTAATACATCAGCCAAGGACACCAAGGCTCTGGGAGGATTTACAGCATGCCTGAGACATGCAGATGGTAAAAGACAGCAAAAAGAGAATGTGAACTTCAGGTACTCTGGCTCCAAAGACTACTTACTTTATACTACATAAAACTGCCCCCACTTCTTAAAAGTTGAACTAACCAATAAAATTATTTGTAAATATGAAGATGCTCTATTAAAATCACCATTCCACAGTGTAATTAAGGGGAAATTGAAGTAGAAGGTATATAAACTCCTATGTCATTATTCTACCAGCCTTTTTAGCCTAGTTTGAATGACATGAATATTACATTGTAAAAACAAACTCCACCCACAAAGGGCAATGGCAACCTCGAGTAGTCTGTCCAGCCCTCCTGGGATCACAGTAAGAAGCCCCCAGCTCCTATTCTGAGGCCCAAGAGATGGCCCTTGAGGCAATGACTCTGGTGTGTTCTGATGCAGCCAATGAATGTTAAGCAGAGAGAAGTTGTAAATTATCCATCCGTTTAGGGGTGGAATGGCCATTTCATGAAAAAGTATTAAACACAAACTTTCCTTTGGTCATTCCAATGTCAATATACCTGGGATCCAAGACAAATTACTTCTGAGCTTATTCAAATCAGTTTTCAGGTTCACACCCTGTAAACTTTGGGATTATCTTGCCATTGTTTCCTGGCCTACCATTTTCTTTCCCTTGTCAATTTAACCTTTAGGAATGTCGTCTTGCTTTTCCTCATTATCAGTTCAGTGTCATTTCTTTTCATTATTGCTTTTCGCCAGATAAAAAATAAATACATTGTAAGGTTTTTGCATCACAGGGTGAACAAGAAAAGGGAAAAGTATATCATTTCCTTCATGGACTCTGGTGTTATGGGTAACTCCTTGAGGTGCTGAAATACTCCAGTGCATGCAGCAGGCCACAGAAATGATGCTTTTACCAGCAAATGAGTTCACTTCCTGAGATGAGTGACAGTTAAGTCCTCTGGCATTAAGTAAACAATCTACTGGGTGATTTTGGTGTTCTTTTTCTTAAGACCAAATAAACATAGGCATAATTTTTCTAAAATAGAACCATCCTGGCTCCAAGTAAAAATAACTTTCAGATGTAATGAAATATATTTACAATTAAAAAAAAAAGTTGACCACCTTACTTTGGCCCACCTGAATGTCATTTTAAACCATTCAGAACTATGTAAAACTGGATATTTTACAAGTCAACTCAGCACCAATGTGAAAAGCTTCAGCCTCTTCACATAAACATAGTTGCCAGCCATCAACCATAGTCGTTTTGTTTATTCTCTTCAGTAGTTTATCAAGTAGACATGAAAAAAATAAGTGAAAAATGTCACCAAAGAAGTAAGGCTTTTGCTCCAGAGATATTACAAAATATTTTTAAAAATTATTCTCAGTAGAAGTTTAGAGACAGAAGGTAAATGACAGCCATTTGAAACTCAGGGATATTTGCACATTGTACAGTTGGTCCAGCTCAAATGAATTTTTGAATTTCTCAGTATTTTCTATCTGGAGACCCAGCTGTGGTGGGGAAGATCTGTTTTCCATAATGACTGATGTTTTTCTGCAACTTTTAACAAGGTCATGCTACAAATTCTTGAAGATGTTCATTTGGCTCATCACATTCCATATATATCATCTATTATCAGATTTGCTGTAGATACAGAACCTGAAAAAAAAAAAGAGCACTGGCTTTTAGGACATGGAAAATGCCTATACCTTAAGGTCTTGCTTGGATATCCAAAGGTACATACTTAGGTACCACAAGGAATTAGAGATGAAGCAGAAGACATTGTCTCAACTGCAAGGAGTTTATTATCCAACAGAGAAGTCAGATCAAGTAGAACAAAACCAAACAAACAAAACAAATGTTCAAGGCAGCATTATTCACAATAACCAAAAAGTGGAAATAACCCAAATGACCACTGACTGATGAATGGAAAAAATGCTGTATATCCATACAATGGAATAAAAAAAATGAAGTACTGATGTATTCTATAATGTGAATGAATCTTGAAAACAATTATGCTAAGTGAAAGAAGCCAGACCCAAAAAGCCACATATGACATGATTCCATTTATACAAAATGTCCCAAATAGGTAAATCCATAGAGAGAGAAAGTATGTTAGTGGTTTCCATGGGTTGGGAGGAGGGAGGAATGAGGGCTGACTGCTAATGAGTACGGAGTTTCTCCTGGGGTGATGAAAATATTATGGAATCTAATAGTGGTGATCATTGCACAACTGTAAATATATTAACATCCACTAACTTTAGAAGAATGAACTTTATGGTATATGAATTTTATCTCAACAGAGCTAGTATTAATACATTTTTAAAATTTAATTTCTTTTTTTAATTTTTATTTTTAAGTTCTGGGGTACAGGTGCAGGATGTGCAGGTTTGTTACACAGGTAAACATGTGCCATGGTGGTTTGCTGGACAGATCAACCCATCACCTAAGTATTAAGCCCTGCATGCATTAGCTATTTTTCCCAATGCTCTCTCTTCCCCTACCTGACCCTCTGACAGGCGCCACTGTATGTTGTTCACCTCCCTGTGTCCATGTGTTCTCATTGTTCAGCTCCCACTTACAAGTGACAACATGCGGTGTTTAGTTTTCTGTTCCTGTGTTAATTTGGTGAGGACAATGGCTTCCAGCTCCATCCATGTCCCTGCAAAGCACATAATCTCATTCCTTTTATGGCTGCATAGTATTCCATGGTGTATATGGACCACATTTTCTTTATCTAGTCTATCGTTGATGGGCATTTGGGTTGACTCCATCTCTTTGCTATTGTGAATAGTGCTGCAATGAACATACATGTGCATGTATCTTTGTAATAGTAAAAATTTAATTTCTTATCACAAAAAAATACCACTTTCATGGTGAGTGCTCTTACTATAAAGAAAGAAAAAAGAAGAATACTAACAATAAAGGAGTGGGAGTGGGAGGGAACTTTGGGAGGTGATGGATGTGTCTGTGGCCTTAGCGGGATGATGATTTTGTGAATGTATTCTTATCCCAAACTCATCGACATGTATGGATTAAATATGCAGAACTTTTTCTATGCATACATCAAGAAAGTGGTTTAAAAAGATTAAAAGATAAAAATAACTATGATTACAGTTAATAAAGAAGAAAATGTTTAATGAAGTTGTTAGTGAAACAGTAGAAATAAGAAAGGGCATATGGAAGTCTTTTTAAACTAACAAATTATAGTGCATTAAAATGCGATATGAGGATGATATGTTACTGTCCCCACATTTAACTTTTCCATAAGACTGTGTATTGATTTGTACTTATTTTCAAATGCTGTCCAGAGGAAAATTATTCTTTAGCTTCGACTAGGGAATCAGGAGACTGGACAGGAGTGAACATATATATGTTATGATTTGCAAAGAAAATAAGAGGCAAAAATGCCAGGAAAAATATTGACTTTCATGCCAAATAAAAGTCCAAAAATATAAAGTAGATGAAGAGAACATGTTGGAAGGCCTAAATAAAAGCAGACAAAATAAAATGTGAAATAATAGCAGCCGTAATTAAAATCAAATCCAAAATAGTCAATTTTTGTTTACGACCAATTACTAATTATGTTTTAATTATATTTCAGTCTTTAAAATTAAACACATTAATGCATGCAGAGGTCAGATGTCAATACTAGAAATTCAAAGGTAAATTCAAATTTATACTCACTGGGTCAATGGACAGAGTAGAAATTTTCTTCCCATTGTTCCTCTCCCTCTGTACGTGTTTCCATGTTTTTTTGGTGTGAATTTTTTAGATGTGTCAAGTTTTCCTGTTTATTTGTAACTTTTTCACGGAAAGACTAACTTCCAACAGAATTCCCATTTTGGATACAGTATTCATGTTCAAACTGATTGGGCTTATCATAGTCAATAACGTTGCATAAGAATTCCAGCTTGATTCCTGAAAGGAAACATCTTCACTCTGCCTTGGTTTAAAAAGACTTAAGCTTTATAATTGACATTGCAATTCATTTCAAACTGAGGGAAAGAAGATGAATCTCTCTCCTCCATGCCTGATGCAAATCTAGAATGACTTCTTCCAAAGCAGCTTGAGCAGGGGACTGAGCAGAAAAGATGGAGATATATTGATATACGGGCTCCACGATGACCTGGATAAAGGTCTCCTAGCTCCTGCTCTTCAGGGAGAACAAGCCATTTTCAGAAGGAAGACAGACTTACATCAGGGGCGGCAGGATAGTGCAGATCAGCAGAGAAGGGAAAATGGTGCATTCTTACCCAGTGGAAAGCCCACACTCCCACAGGAAGCCCAGCTACATGAGGATTGGCATTCTCCAAAGGAGGGCTGATCAAAAAAGTGCTCAGCTGCCGAACATGCTAGGGAAACATTCCTTTTCTTGGAGATTCTCAACAAGACTATTCAGTGATCTAAGTATTACAACAGTAAGAAACTTATCCAACCTTGTTTAAATCACATAGCTAATCACAGAACCTTTTAAGTATATACATATATATTACAACCACTAATCTACAATATCCATTGGAACACACTTTGGGAAATGCTAGTCCAAACAAATAATGTCACAAGTTTCAGCTAAATTCTTGACTTGGGTTGTGATAAGCATCACCAAGTAAACAAAAGATGCCCAGTTAAATCTGACTTTAAGTGAACAGGAAATAATTTTTTTCATATAAATATGTCCCATGTAATATTTTTATTTGCTAAGTCTTCCAACCTTAGCTGTGGCATGGTACTGTCAAACAAACCTGCTGGGACCAAAAATGCATCGGGTTGCTGCTTTGCTGTGCACGGTGCTCATACCTCCCCTGCAGGCTCTGCCACCCTGCTCTGAGTTGCGGCGTGCTAGTGTGCCTGGTAAGTAGTTAGCATTAGAACAAAGGCAGTTACCTTCTTCAGCGTAGCACTCTGGGATCCCATTGGAGCTCATTATCAGGTTGCCATCATCGTCGTGCCGTTCCAAGGTCCCAGGGGGACAGGTGGGGATGGGAGTGGTGGGTGTGGGGGTGGTGGTGGTGGTTGTCCGCGTAGTGGTTCGGACTGTGGTTGTTGGACGCCTGGTGGTCGTGCGGCGGGTGGTGGTCGTGCGGCGGGTGGTGGCAGTGGTGGGCCTCGGGGTTGTAGTGGTAGGCAGGGGCGTCGTAGTAGTGGTGGGCTGCATGGTAGTGGTAGGGGGATGGGTGGTTTTTTTGATGACCTCCAAGCCCACCAGCGGCTTTCCTCCAAGACTCAAAATTGGCTTATCTTGGGCATTGGCCAGAGGTGTGCCATGTCGCCCCTGCCCAAAGAGTGGGAGGCCGTCAGGACTCACCACGGGGGTCCCTTCCAGATCTGAAACAAAATCAACCAATAGCTATGCAACAAGGTGAAGCAATCCAGAGAAAATAAAAAGCAAGCAATAAGTGTCTTCTCAAAGCTTATGTATTATCATGTTTTAATCAGTAAAAGGCAAAGGGATAAATGAATATTGCATCAGTATGCTCCACGATCCTGAGATAACTCTTGTGTCTAGCAAAGGAAGAAATACTTTCCTTTGCCTCATTCCTATGCCTAAGGGGGAAAAGTGTTACTTTGGATTAAAGGTGGAAAACTTCTTCTGTAAAGGGCCAGGAAGCGAATATGTTAAGCCTCATAGGCCGTATGGTCTCTATTGCAGCTACTCAATCCGCTTTTAGAGTGCAAAAAAGAAGATAGACAATACATAAACAACACATAAAAAATGAGTTAGACAGTGCATAATTAAGTGAGTGTATTGTGTTCCAGTAAAACTTTGCGTATGGACACTGAAATGTGCATTTCACGTAATTACCATGCCACAAAATATTCTTTTTTCTGGCAATCATTTAAAAATGTAAAAACTATTCTGAGCTCATGGGTCTTACAAAAATAGGTAGTGGGCTACAACCTACAGGTTGTAGTTTGCGGACCCCTCCTCTGAAAGGGCCAATTTAAGAACAAAGTAAAGGGCCACATTTTCTAGAGGGTGCAGCCTGCAGGAAGAGAACTAACGCTCTCTGGGGGAAACACCAAGTTCTGCCTCTTTTGAGGCTCTTCTTCTCACATGGGTAAAAGTAACTAACCCATGACCATTCATTATAAATGAGGGGGAGAAGGAAGATAGAAGCTGTAATTCTATGGCTAATTCAGTAGGCTTTTATTCTTTAAAAACCATTCTCCCTTACCTACAATGGTTCGACCATCTCCTCCTAGTTTAATCCGAAGAGGATTTCCATGTGAATCTTGGAGGTACCTTCCTTCTGCATTCAATACTAACCCACGATCAAGGTCCACAACCTAAATCCATGACATAGATTAAAGAATATATTGGACATTTTGAAATGATCACATTAGTCCAATTATATATGTATATACCCCTGAAGCTTCCACAGAAGGAAACCGTAATGTGAGTAGAAGACATTCTTTTTGTCAATATCATTCATAAAGTCTTAAAAAGTAAAGTACAGGCCGGGCGCGGTGGCTCACGCTTGTAATCCCAGCACTTTGGGAGGCCGAAGCGGGCAGATCACGAGATCAGGAGATCGAGACCACGGTGAAACCCCGTCTCTACTAAAAATACAAAAAAATAGCCAGGCGCGGTGGCGGGCGCTTGTAGTCCCAGCTACTCAGGAGGCTGAGGCAGGAGAATGGCGTGAACCCAGGAGGCAGAGCCTGCAGTGAGCCGAGATCGCGCCACTGCACTCCAGCCTGTGTGACAGGGCAAGACTCCGTCTCAAAAAAAAAAAAAAAAAAGTACAAAACAGTCATCTTTCATATTATAATTGCTTACCCATATAACATGTAAATTGTTTTAAGTTTCTCAAATCACAAAAGATGTTCAAAATATTTTTACCATTAAGTACATTGTGTCTAATGCTGGAAAGAAGGAAACAATGTGTCTCTCAGTTGAGGGAAGAGATTAAATAATTTGTGGCCCATCCATGTGGTAGAATATTATGCAGACAATTCTACATACGTTCTACGTATATGTGAACTCAGATTACAGGGCTGGTTATTTTGCAAAAATAAAGATATATCCATTTGCATATATAAGCTTAAAACTGCAGAGAAAAAAATTATGGAAGGTTATACCGCAAATGGTTAACAGTGGTTATCTTTGAGAAGTAGTTTGGGTGAAGAATGTTTATTTTCTGTTTCATATATTTCAATATGAATTGTTTTAACTTCTTGCAATGAATGTGAATTGCTAGCATATTAAAGACATAAAATCTTTCCATTTTGCTGTTAATGTTAAAAATCAAAGTTGCTGTAACAAAAACAATATAATTTGTAATCACGTTGCCTAATATAGTATGCATGCAGAAAACGTCACATTCTAAGGAACTGTAAAACTTGAAGAAAGCTATAATTATCTCTATTAAGGAACAAGCTCGTGCTCTTTGCTGGTGGTTCTCAAAGCATGGTCCTGGACCTGAAGCCTCAGCATCACATAGGAACTTGTCAGATACTCAAATCACCCAGCCCTACCCGAGACTTGTATTTGACAAAATCCTCAGTGATCCTGAGCTGGCTTAAGTTTGAGAACCACTGCTTTAGACACTCAGGCTACTGGAGGAAGCCCTGCAAGCAAGCCACTTTGGTGGGTATTGTTTTGGCATTAAAATAAAATTTATATAAACTCTATTTTGAAATCTACCCCATGCTGTTTCCATTCAAAATTGTTTGCAATAGCATTTTGCTTTAATGTGCATTCTTCCTACTATAAATTTCTCTTCCTTTAAGAAATGATAACATGCATCTTTAGATCACCTATGACTGAAAATGTCATAGTCTTTTAGTACATTTCCCTAAACCTTATCATTATAAATGGGAAGTTTTGGTTGGGAATTACAGTATAAATAATTTTTTTATTCTTAGAAAAAGTACTTTAAATTCCTGAATATTGTAAAGTGTTCTGTTACCCTCAACCCACCAAAACCTCCTAAACATTTATCTTAACCCCAAGCAATTAAAGCTGTTTAGACATACATGAAATACTAATACATAATTTTAGTCCAACACTTGTTGGAAGATTCAAAAGATGATCTAATAAAAATTTCCAGTATCATTCAGGGTTTTTTGTTTGTTTATTTTTACCCTGTGTCCTTTGAGAAAGGATTTGAGATGACTTACAGAAAATATGTGTAATGTTTAATCAAACAATAAACAAAACCTAAAAATAAAATGAAGCTACCAGGACAGGGAAAATATAAGTTCCTTTGAACGGCCATCCATTGGGTCTATAATTGCTATGGTTGGGCCATGCATTCATTTGACCTTCCTAACCAGTCAAGGCAAATGAAAAACGAAGGCCCATGCCTTATCTTGGCTATGAGAAGAAAACAAGCTAGTTACCAGGAGAACCACAGATTTTTCCGAGTATTAAAATAAACTCTATACAAGTACATATAAGTAGTTAAAACTAGAGAAGAAGAACAAACAAAGACCACTTCATTTATCATTACACAATGTCCACCATTTTTCTCTTCTCAACAGCATGAAAACAACGGGGATGTGTAAAGAAGTTTACCCTACCCACTTTGTTCCTTGAGGGCCATTGATAATTCTCTGTCCATTCGGTTTTCCATTACTACCAGGAAGGACTTTCCCTTCTACATTTGGTCTGCCATTATAACCTACACAGTACCAAAAATAAAAATAACAGAGCCTGGTAAATTCAACATGCCCGGGAAGTTGGCTTCATACCAAACTATTAGTAGTGACACATCATTTCAAATAGAAGCTCTAAACAGAATTTTAAACCAATAGCTCAAATATATTAGATAATGATAGTCTCAAATTATGACTTCTCCACAACAGATATGAATGTCAATTAAGAATACAGTAAAGTCACAGCTTTCTGACAATACTGTGGGAATGAGAGTGTGTGGCATAAGTAAATTTGCCATAGAAAACTTAAGATCTTAGTAGCTGTAGCTTTATTTTAGCCATGTGGAAGTTGGAGGAAGGAAGGATTGGAAGGATAGAGAAAATTATGTCTAAAATGTACTAGATGCTGTCCCACTTTTCTGGGGATGTTAAACTAAACACAGCTATTCCCAGCTGACTCAGGTCCCAATCACCAATCGCCGAGTATAAAAGCACAATGCTGTCTCAAAGCTTGCTGAACGCTGTGGGGCTGCTTGAGAAGTATTTGCTCAGACAGTAAGAAGATGCAGCAGCACCCTTACACTTGTTGTTTCTGTCTGTCTCTGCCTCACATGGAGATGTTTCTCATCAGCTCCAGTCTACTCTGGTCCAGCATTGACCGCTCGGCAAAGTGCTTGGGCTTTCTGACCGCTACTCGCAGGTCAGACACTTATTTCTCTCATTCCTTCATTTATTTATTAAATATTTATGGAGTTCCTGCTATATACAAGGGAACGTTGAGTTTTACATCTACTCTCAGGGTGCTAGGTTTGATTAAAACAGTCAATCTTAGTGGAAAACTGAGTTTGATATGGGGCATTGTTCTATGTCTTTACATTGGGCTAAAATAACAATGCATTGTACAGATCTGCAAAAAAAAAAAATACATTCATTCAAGAATGTTCTATAAAGCCCCAATTACATACAAGGAGGGTTTAAAGCACCATTTAACTGAATGCAAATTTATGGTAAATGCCTCGGACCCTGCCCTGGACATAAATTCCAGTTCATAGCGGACTTTGTTCAACCCTCTGTTATAGAAATACAAAGCACACATCTGCCTGTAACTCCTCTTTGTGACAATGATCTTTAACATACATTTTCTGGAGGTTTTAGACAACATGCACTAATTGCACTGTCTGAGCAATTCATACCCAAGATATCTGAGTTTGTCTCAGGGTTTGTTTGGTTGAGAGTTTTGCATGCAGAAGATGAGAACAAGATAAAGACAAGAACAAGATAAGCCTACATATGTATCTAACCAGCTTCTATGGATCCCTTAAACACATGGCGGCACTTGAACAACTAAGAAGAACCTGAGTTGGGCATCATGGTTGTGACACATTTTCACAGGTTAAGAGTGTATGCCAAAGAATTCAAAGAGGCAATGTAGGACAGTGAAAAGACTGTGGAATTAGAGGCAATGTGGGTTAGTAATGGCTGTGAAATTAGGCCATTTGGAATTGGAATGGCAACTCTGAGGTGTCTGCCTTAGGGCAAGCCCCTCAGATCCTGAGCCGCAGCTTCTGCATCTGGAAAACAGGGATAACAATGCAAACCCTAGGGACCGTTCAGAGGATGAAATTATGTCACATGTGCAAAGCTCTTAACACGGTGCGTGGACATAGTAGGTGCTAAATGCAATAGAATAAAAACTTCTTAGGCATTGCCATGAACACCACTGAACACCTTAAAGAAAGACTGTTTGAAAAAATAAACTACCTTGTCTGTAAGAGGGTCTGGCAGGCTGTCGGGAGAGAGGGTTACGGAATCTGGCATGCATCATCCTCTGGCGCAAGGACAGCATCGGGGTGGTGGAGAAGTGGCCAGGTGGGGCGCGCGTGGTGTACTGCGGCCAGGGGTGGGTGCCCGCGACGGGGCTCACGGTGGCAGCGCTGCGAGGCGGCAGTCGGGAAGGGACGTGGGAGGCCCTGGGGGAGCTGCCTGGAGGTGGGGGGAGAGGTCGCTTCACAGGAGCCAGGCTCCCTCCGCGAGGGGCAAGCGCGATGGCAGGCTCCCTCTCTTCCTTGGCGAGGCTCCCATCGGCGTCTTTGCCGCCCCTGGGAGTGGAGGAAGAGGGCCACTTTGGCACAGAGGAAGACAGAAGGTCTTCTTTCCCGCCTTTAAAAAATCCCGCGTCCTCCTCCTCGTCGTCCTCGGCTGAGACCGACTGCTGGGACTTGGAGGACAGGGGCCGCTTGGAAGGAGGCTCCGACTTCCCCGGCGCTGCCCTGCTGGGTACCCGGGCGCGGGACTGGGGGCCGCCGGGTCGGCTGGGCCTGGCGGGGGAGGCCGCATGTCCGCGCTGGGACCTGTGGTCGCCACCTGCCCCTGCGCCTGTGGGAGACTCCACCTGCTGGTGCTTGGGAAGGGACGCAGCTGCCTCCTTGGCGCGCGCGGCGTGCGCGGGGGCCCGCACATCCTGGGCCTCGACTTCTGTGCTGTCGTCGTCGTAGCTGCCCTGGGCATCCTCGTCCTGGTTCTGGAGGGCCGTGGGGAGCATCCCTCTGGAGCTCGCCGTGTAAGGGTCCGAGGAGGAGTGGGAGCGGCCCTGCGACGTGGGGCGGGGCCGCCCGGCCTGGGTCAGTGAGAGCCTGGGCTGGGAAGGTGACCGACCCGCGTCTCTGCTCTGGGGTCCCGGGTGGTGCTGGGACGTGGCGACGGGAGGAGGGGGCTGCTGTTGTGGGGCCCGGCCGGGTGTCATCCTTCTGGGAACACTGGGATGCTGCTGTGACCGTGCTGCGGGCGGACGAGCAGGGGACGCGTGGCGGTCTGTGGACCCTGGCTGTGCTTTGGGAGAATGACCCTCCGTGTCCGCGTCTGTGCTCTGTTGAACATCCTGAGCCTTGGAGGCCAGGGAGGAGTACTTGCCCTGAGGATGTGTATCTGCCCCTGTGGATTTGGGGTTCTCTGGGATGGGTTCCTTCCGATGCAGGCTGGCCCCTCTCTGCGGGCTTCTCCTTAAGTCCTCCCAGCCCCGGGAGATGGGCTGCCTGGAGGAGGAAGGCACGTGGTCATTGACAACGGTGGCAGGAAGCGGCTTCTCATCCTCCTCGTCTCCATGGATACCTGAGCTAAGCTTAGGGTGGGAATCAGAGTGAGAGGGAACCCTGGGGTGGGCTCGGGAGGGCACAGTCGACTGTGGGGAGCTGGAGGGCTGCAGCCGAGGTCCCCGCCCAATGCTGAACCTGCTTGGAGACCTCCCGTTGGCAGCAAAGGGTTTGTGTCTGAGCAAATGGAAGTGTCCAGAGGCAGGCCGGGCCCGCAGCGTCTGGGCCGTGGCCTCCGCCTGCCTTCCGCCGTCTTCCCTATCGCCGTCACCGTGGCTTTCACCATCAGAAGCCTCCGCTCCCTCAGAGACCTGCGTCCTGGACGAGAGATGAGAAGAGACGGAGGAGGACATGGTGGACCGTGATGGCGCATTGGAGTTGGTGGCTGGGGCGTCCTCACCATCCTTCCCGCCCTTGGAAAGTGGAGAGCTCAGGTGTGGCTGGGTGGGCAGCAGCCGAGATGATCCCCCATGGGGTGGAGAAAGTCTTGAGGGTGGGGCTGAGGCACTGGAATCTTCCTCTGCGGCCCCTGAATGGGGGGTCCTCCGGGCCGGCGAGGCTGGCTTTGCGCCGGGGTGCACAGAGCTTCTGTCGCGGAGAACGCTGGACGGGGACTGGCGGCTGGGGGACAGGGCTGGCCGGGGCTGGGCGAAGGCGCCCTTGGGGTGGAGGGAGCCCACAGCGCGCTCATCTTCGTCTGAGTCCACCAAGTCGTTGTCATTCAAGCTGGCAGGCAGGGAAGGACGATGAGAGGTGCCCTGGGTGGACGCGTGGTGGGCAGGAGAGGCCGAAGCCGAGGGGGGCGCCCCTGGGCGGGGCTGCGTGGCCAGGGAAAAGCCAGGCTTATCTACGCCTTCCCTTCGGGGCAGCGCTGGCATCCGGGCCCTCACTGCAGTCCTGCCGGGAGCAACCACCGAGTGGCCGTGTCTACTTGGCGGCCTCAGGGTCCGTTTCTGGTCTTGGGTGTCTGAGGGTGACATGGGCGAGTCCTCCCGGGAACCCAGCTCCTCCTCCCCAGTGATTTCTGTCGACTGAAGATCCAGCTCCTCTGCCTTCTTGGCGCGAAGCTGGGGTTTTCGGGGCGCCCCACCATTAGCCAATATTTTGTTCTTCAAGTCAAGAAGAAGGTCCTTGGCATTTCTCCCTTGGGGAGAAGCAGGCACAGAGGGGTGTTGGGAGGAAGCTGGAGCTCTGGGAGAAGGTGAGGAAGGCTCAGGTTTTTCGGGTTTCCCATTGTCCTCCGTGTTCTGCTCAACATCCGCCTTACTGGCTGCAACAGATTTTAAAGAATTGCCTGTCAAAGAAGAAACTCAAAAGCGAAAGCGGAGGTGAGACACAGTATTTAAAACAGCATATGGAGGCATTTCAAATCAGTAGTCATAATGGCTAACTTCTAATTCCTTAGAACACTGGAAACGTGTTTTCTCAACGATAGCATTCTTTTTAAAACTTATATTTTGCTTTAAGTAACAAATATAGTCCTAGAAAATATAAGTGAATTGAATCTCTATTGAACCAGGTTATGCCACATCTTATTATTTGAAGAAATTCTGAAATGAGTACTTTGAAGTAACTCATTTATTTTATAAATGCAAAATCTTATATAGGATTTTCTTAATAAAACTAATTGTCAGTGTATTACAAATGCATTATAGCTGTCCTTAATAGACAAGAAACATGAATACACCTGGTGCAAATTGCTGAATAATCTATACTCAAAGTGATGGGGAATGTGTGACGAGCAACCAATTTGTAATTTTTTTTTTTTTTGAGACGGAGTCTCGCTCTGTCGCCCAGGCCGGACTGCGGACTGCAGTGGCGCAATCTCGGCTCACTGCAAGCTCCGCTTCCCGGGTTCACGCCATTCTCCTGCCTCAGCCTCCCGAGTAGCTGGGACTACAGGCGCCCGCCACCGCGCCCGGCTAATTTTTTGTATTTTTAGTAGAGATGGGGTTTCACCTTGTTAGCCAGGATGGTCTCGATCTCCTGACCTCATGATCCACCCGCCTCGGCCTCCCAAAGTGCTGGGATTACAGGCGTGAGCCACCGCGCCCGGCCCCAATTTGTAATTTTTAAGGCAGTACAAAAATTTCCCTCTTCCCATAGCATGTCCTTACCTGCTTCCTCCTTCTTGTTTAAAATTCCATTAATAGTGGACACATTTATAATTCTAAAATAAGGCTTAAAATAAAAAAAACTCCTGGGATAGGCAAACATTATATTAAATGTACTGTAATCACCCTGTCTTCAGAGCAGACTGACTGAGGGAAGAGATTCTATAGGGGAGAGGAACCTATATTGCAGTGAGAGTGCCGGAGGGGCAAATGTCATCCATTTCACAGATTTTTCCATGACAAAATTGTCTAATATTGCAGTCTACCATGGGTCTTCATAGCACATAATGAAGGAAAAGCCGCCAATATCCAGCATAAATGTGAGGAAGTAGAAAAGAAAACATGGTCCAAAAACACTCCCTTCCAGTTGTGGATCTTTATTAACTTGTTTGGTTTGGATATCGATCAGGTAAGCTAGACAACTGAAATCCTTCTGGGTACAGCTGCATTCCTAAATAATGGAATACAAACCAAAAATTTTACTTTTATCTTATTTTTAAATTTTAGATTCAGGGGCTGCACGTGCAGGTTTGTCACATGAATATACTGCATCATGGTGAAGCTTGGGCTTCCAGTGAACCCATCTCCCAGCCAGTGAATATTGTACCCAGTGGGTAATTTTTTTAACCCTCACCCGTCTCCTGTCCTTTCTGCTTTTGCAAACTAAACATTTTTAAAGCTACATAGAAATTGAAGAGAGCTGACAATGAAAAATGTCACACTACCATTTGTAAAAATGTTCTTTCCCTGTTACCACAAGCCTAAAGTTAAATAATGATGTCAGATTAATTATATAATTAATACATTAATAATACTGAAATAGTAACTGTTATCAATAATCAATAACATTTTAATCTTTGAGAAGACTAATTTCTAAAGGAAACACAAAAATATTTTAAAAATCAATATGCAACTTAGCCTGGAAAAATCATCTGCTGAGCAGTTCCAAACCCAAGAGCATGATTCAAAGGAACACAAAACAAACAGCAGGAATGAAGAGAGAGAGAAGACAGCCACAGACACATAATGCTTACTTGTTGGCATAGCGACAATGAAGGCTTTGGAGTGAGGTCCCAGGCCTCTCCTGTTTGTGGCCCGGATTTTGAAAAGATAGCGTTCCCCAGGCTGCAGACCATCCACCAGGGCAGAAGTAGTGTCTCCAGGATAGGTGAGGGACTTTGCTCCAAATGGTTTGAGAGCCGGGGCGTATGAAAGAATGTATTCTGAAATGATTTGGCAGATGGTTGGAAGGAGGAAACTGAAAACAGTCCTGTGTCCAGCAGACAGACTGTATGGGCAGGACGAATTAGAACGTGCATTACTAAAATTAATACACTAGCAATGCACGCCAAGTCACCAGCTGGAGCATGAAGACACAGCAGAAGGTGAACTCACATTCATTCGGGCAACCACACAGGGCTATGTATTTAATTAGCTGACACTTCACCATTTTAGGCAAATTAAACATATGAAAGCCAGGAGGCCAGTCTTCATACAATTCCCCCCAAATTTACACACCGTTGGGTTTCTAAAATTGTATTTATTTACTAATTTGCTATGATTGATATGTCCTGATAGAATAAACTAAGGAAAAAGAAGTGACAACTGCTAGGAATGGATCCTGAATAGCATCTGACATCTTCAAGAGTTTTACTTTATTAACCTGGGTTATTTTTATTAGCACATTTAGCCAGAAAAATTCCATATTTGAAATATAATTTCATTTTTGTAGGAATTATAAAAGTTCTTAGTATATCCTGATAAAGATATTTCACAGTATTTTAGAGCTGTGAAGAAAAGTTGTTAAGTAATAGATTTATGTGATAGCTAATGTTTCCATCTTTAATTGGCTTGCTCTATAGTCACATAATAGCCCTGAATTTTGGAAAACCAAAGCAAATTCAGTTCAAGGAACTAAAATATGTTTATGCTCACATGGAAATGTTATAACATAAGGGAATAATATTTTAAAAAATAATTTTTGCCTTCAACTAAAAACTGTCATGCCTATTTCCTCTCAATGAACCCAAGATTTACAAAACATCAAATTAATATGAGTAGGGGCTGGGCATGGTTGCTCACGCCTGTAATCCCAGCACTTTGGGAGGCTAAGGCGGGCAGATGACTTGAGGTCAGAAGTTTGAGACCACCCTGGCCAGCAGGGTGAAACCCCCGTCTCTATTAAAATACAAAAATTAGCCAGTGATGGTGGTGTGTGCCTGTGGTCCCAGCTACTCGAGAGGCTGAGGCAGGAGAATCACTTGGACCCTGGAGGCAGAGGTTGCAGTGAGCCGAGATTGCACACTGCACTCCAGCCTGGGCAATGAAGTGAGGCTATGTCTCAAAAAATAAAATAAAAAGAAAAAGAAATGAGTAGGAACAAAGAAAAATAACTTTAATCACAGAAAATTCAAGAATTATCAGGAGCATGGATGATCTTTTCTTTTCCCTTAGCTCCAATCTTTAAAAAGTATATTTATTTAAAAAAAAAACGTTTCAACCAAAAATGCTTTTGCAGCATTTGTCTGGAAAAAACAGCATTCATTTCTCATTGAAAATCAACAAACTTGTCATTTGTGGTGGTCAAAAGTAAGAATTAAGAGAACCCATTGTCTATAAAAATTTGTGATTCAAATTTTAAAATAAATTAAATCCATCTGGAAAATAAATTTAGCCTTGTCAAAGTATATTCTTCTATTACGTTTTATATTTCTTGTACATAGAAAATTATTAATTTTAATCTCACCACTACACCCTTACAAAAACGACCTAAGCAGGCTTAAGATACGCGAGTTCTTTTGGACATAAAAACTCAGTATCTGTTATTATTTCTGCAATATTTAATTGACTACCATGGAACTTCTTTCGCCAAGGAACTGTAAATATCAACTCAGATGAGGGAGAGAGGAAGAGTACATAAGTAGCATGGGAATAAAGTCACCAGAGGTGCAATAATTACCTTTTCATTTTTTAACTAACAAAAAGTAGTTAGCAAAAAAAAAGTCTTTATTCAATTTTCAGAGGTCTTCTCGGCAGCACAACAATACTTAATACAGAGGGAGTTAAAGTTCAAATTGTGGTAAAAAGAATGATTTAAAGCAAGCTGTTCAACCTGTGGCCCACAGGCTGCAAGCAGCCCAGGACAGCTTTGAATGAGGCCCAGCACAGATTCATAAACTTTCGTAAAATATTATGAGACTAATGCATGGACCTTTTTTTTAAAGCTCATCAGCTTTCGTTAGTGTTAGTGTATTTTATGCGTGGCCCAAGACAATTCTTCTTCCAATGTGGCCCAGGGAAGCCAAAAGATTGTACACCCCTGATTTAAAGGGACCAAATTAATATTTTTCTCTGGTTGTGGATTTATTCCAATGGCAAAAAAAAAAAAAAAGAGAAAGAAGAATAGTACAATCTATTCTTTAAAAAAAAAAAGTGAAAAAACGTGAAGTATAGAAAATACAGTTCCACATCGACCTTCCTTAACTTCTATTATTCCAAGAAAAGACATCCTACATGTCAGCAAACATAACTTTTGGATGAATATAAAAGAGAACCATTCAGTTTTTTCAATTAAGAAATTCTCAAAGGAGACTAGTAGTAATTTTCTGGATTTCTTTAAGCTTACACAAACATTTCATAGTTTCTGGACATATTAGACTTAAAGTTGCCCCTCAATCTAATAACAATAAAAATTATTTCTTTCTTGAATAAAACCTCCATTCCTTCCTACCCTTAGAGTACATTTGCATAGGCAGTGCCAGGAAAAACTTCAGCATGGCTCTTTAAAATGTCTCCAAACAGATTCTGAGAGGTTCTTAAACGCTTTTACATTAAAAATAAAAGATTTTCATGTTTATTTAGTATTCTCAACAGACTATTTTAAAATTTAACTAGTTGTGAATGTTTTACTCTATTTTTATTCTTTAAAATATCTAGGTTTTTTTGCTATTTTGGTGTTATGTTTTCCTTGACATCAATAAATACATAAACAAATGGTGACAAATAGGGAATCAATCCATTTTCCAGCGATTATTACTTGAGTTTTTCAAACCCATTAAATGTATTTATGGTCCCATGAAAGATACTGATGGCTCTGCAGGATTCCTGCTGACACCTGCTTTCGTGATCTTCCTAGCACAACGAAAAGACCCATAGCATGGAAGCCAGGGTGTTGTTCAGATGGGAAAAGGTTATGTTGTCACACCCATGCAATGAAAAACATCCTTCCCAACAGCAACAGCAAAAAGCCTTCACAGGAGGATGAAAAGAATAGTCACTTTCGTGACTGCTTGGATCTTGGGCAATGAAAATCTTGCATGAAATATCCTCGTCCCTTGGGTGAGCACCTCTTAGACATATGTTGCTTCCCTATTTCTTTTTCAGTCAACAAAGCCGTAAGCAGAGGCCATGTTCATCAGAATCAATGCATCTTACAGTTTAGGGAGTGAGATTCCTACCTTTCACTTTCCCCTCAGTCTCTGGTAGCGCATCCCAAGATGCAGCGACAACTGTAGGTTTGCCATTGACTGGCCAGACGTTCAAGTTTTCAGGAGCTGTGGTAGGGGCTACAAAATGACAAGGAAAGAAACATTTTTAAATGCCTTACCGGACATTCTAGATGTAAATAGCACATGGTCTCTAGGTACACATTTTTTTAAATTGAAGACCTACTGTGTTAATTTTTATTATACCTGACAGAAAATTCCACACTGGTTCTTTGTGTAATATAGTGATTTATGTCACTACAACAGTTCATTTAGTGAGTTTAGACCTATCTAGGGAAATGGTCTTAGTAATTCAGAATTTCTTTCATTGCCAAATATTGAAATATACAAAGAAGATTAAGATCCAGTTCCAACTTCTTCTTAATGAAACTTTGAAAGACATAGTTTAAGAGAAAAGAATGGTAGCCTTGGATACAGACCAAAATTTTTCCCAGAATCAAATGCAACCTCAGCCTCAGGAAAGCAGAGGCTCTCCTACATGCAAGAGCCATCCATCACCTGGGGGCATTCACGCACACAATGGTGACTGATGCATGCTACACACTGGGATTTAATGTGCTCCACATGTCAGAACAACATGAACAACATGCTAGTGGAAAAGGCCAACAAACGGTAAAACATGGACCCAAAAAACAGTTCCTTAACTTCTTTGCATGTACGCATAGAAACTCTACCAAAATTTAGGATTAACATGACTTTCAAAAATGCCCACGCTGGCCTTTGTCACTATTGGCATCTTACATTGTCTTTAAATCTTATTTTGGGTGTAATTCCCAAATTGAAAATTCAAAGGCCATTTCAAATACAGACCAGATTCTGGTGTTCTTTGGAAGACTGACGTACTCCATTTGCCATCTCTTTCACCCTGTGAAATACGGACTGCAAATTCATACACAGTGTCTGGAATCAGGTTCTCAATCAGCACACGCCTGTTAGCGATCTGCTTATAATCCCACCTGGCCAATTCCCCCTTCTCTCGATAGCGCACGGTGTACTGTCTGTAAGAAAACACAACACAATGATCTGTCCAAATTCTCTGCCACTCAACACTAGATGCCTCGCTGTTTTTCCTTCCTCATAAGTGATGACTTTGGGAGGTAAGTAAGAAAATCAAAGAGGAGAAAAATCTAAACTTTTGACTATGTTATTGGCTCAAAGTTCCAAGCAAAGTTGTCTAAAGTGGGAGAAAAAAACAGAGCTTAGTGTCTTTTCAAGACCAAAAAATCTTACCATTCAAAAGAGCAAGCAGAGATTACAAAGGGAAGAGAGAGAAGGGAGACAGCTTTTATGAGGCAACTACTTTATCAGGGATATGTGTTTGTGTGTGTGTGACTGTGCGTGTGTGTGTGTGTGTCTGTATTTGTGTCTACTCAAGGCACTAGTAGGGACCTGGCCCAAGGTTATCTCAGCTCTCCAGAAAAGAAAGACAAAAAAGACTCATTTCATCCCAAATCAGGCATGTTTTCCATAGGTTCAGGAGGAACGGGAACATGTGGTTTTGAGTAGACTTACTACAGTGAAAAGGAGTGAAAATGTGAAACAAACAGAGCAGGACAGAGGCACCTATAAAAGGAACTGTGGTGCATGGTTATCGGGGGAGAAATACAGTATGACCAAATATGGACAGTTCAGCAACCCCTGACAGTGGACACCCTCAACACTCTAAGAGCTGCAAATGCCATTTATTAGATTCCCTTTCAAAGAAATTGTCTTTGTGGCCTCTTTGCAGTAGAAAGCATTTGATACATTAAAAAATGTGCTATTTGTTATACTGAATATGTTAAGAGAAGATTTCAGTTGAAGACACAGGACACCAATTAACACAACAGTTCTGCTAAGAAAACTCAAGCCTTCTCTGGTTTCAGCAAGATGTTGGAAATCAAAGTCCAATGGTAAAAGGAACACTTCATGTTGAAGAAGACCATATGGCTAGGGAGAGAATTGCTACGAATCTTCTGAGGTCTTTCAAAAAAAAGCAGCTATCTTTTTTACTAGCAGACAGTGAAGGAAACTATATATCTAACATGAATAATCATTTATATATGTATATATATAATGTCATCATATCCCATTCGTTTTAAACTATATTCCCCTTTCTTGGTTGCAGAGAGGTTGAAAAGTTAATATATAATAACCAGACCACCACATCTGTGGCTTTCTCTTGGTTACTTAATGTATTCAGTCGTGGAAATAAAATTTTCATGGCTATACTAATCTACCACTAACTAGAAATGATGTTCACTAGTGGACTTTTAACATAAAAATATTTTAACCTTATGATTGGTTTGCCTTTTATTGCTGTTGCAAATGAATATAAAAGGCAGAATAGCATAACATCATGGTTTAAGAGAAGATAAGGTGCATTTTGTTATGTATAAATGAGCCAGACATGAAGCAAGTCAGTGTTCAGCAAAGTCTAATGAGGAACTACGAAGTGTAAGGCATTAGACATTGTCCACCACTCTACATAAAGTCCATCTAACAGTGACTCTTCCTGGATCACAGGAGGAATGGTGAGACTCCTCCCAAAGTGGACCCTGTGCATGAACAGAACATCAATGAGAGAAAGCAAAACACAAACACAGGCAAAGAAAGAAATGGAATCTAGGAAATTTCCAGACACAAGATAAATCACTGAGCAAGTGAGATGTGAATTCCTGCTGTGTGCACTACACACGAGGCCCTGCTAACATCTGATTTGTGGGAAATGTGTGAGCACACCTGGGATTAACTAGATTGTCATAGAATATTTACCATTCAGCTATTCAGCTACAAAAGAGACCAGCATTCATGTAAGTCAGAAAATAAAATCATTAAATACATGTCTTTTCAGGGCCAGAAAAACCCCATCTCTCATATATAAAGACAAATAAATAAGCAAAAGTACCTTGATGCAACAACTTTCTTCTGTTTTTCCAGAACAGGATCCACCCAGGACACAAGCACAGACTGAGATGACATAACCCGGACGCTGATGTCGTCAGGTACATCCAATTCGTCCTCTTCTGAAATGACAACGAGACCCAGAGAAAGGCTTTCTCTCACAACAGGTTCTGCCCTGAGCTCCTCAGTCCTTGACAGGCTATTATTCACCCTGCATAAGTTTTAGATTGCTTGTGTGTAATGTAGACAAAATGAAATTGATAGAAAGGTAAACAATTATTGGATTGGTCAGTGTAGAAAAACAAAAATCTCAGTCTTGCATTTCTTAAATACAGGCTAAGAAATGAGCATTTCGGCCAGGTGTGGTGGTTCACGCCTGTAATCCCAGCACTTTGGGAGGCCGAGGCGGGCAGATCACGAGGTCAGGAGATCAAGACCATCCTGGCTAACACAGTGAAACCCCGTCTCTACTAAAAAATATAAGAAATTAGCTGGGTGTGGTGGCGGGTGCCTGTAGTCCCAAATACTCGGGAGGCTGAGGCAGGAGAATGGTGTGAATCCAGGAGGCGGAGCTTGCAGTGAGTCGAGATCATGCCACTGCACTCCAGCCTGGGCAACAGAGCGAAAACTCCACCTCAAAAAAAAAAAAAAAAAAAAAAAAAAAATGAGTATTTCACTTTAAAAGCTGCCCAACCCAATCGACATATAAAACAGTACAAAGGGGATGCTTTGCCTAGGTGAAAGATGGTCCAAGTAACTCAGTGCTTTCTCAATATACACTGTAAGCTTCTGGAAAATAATAACATTTTCATGGGAAGAAAAGTTTAGGAGAAGGAAAGCTCAACTCACATTTCCTTGATGATCATGGCATGAAATGAAAATTCTGGTTCAAACAACTGCAAGATTCACATTGGGTTTGATGTCCTCACATTTTAGAAGGTGTGAGTCCAAGACAGATTAAAACATGTTCAGATATGAACTAGAAGTCAGTTTGCCAATTTCTTACAGAGATTTATCTTTGTTATCAATAGAACATATCACAGTCACAAAGCTTATAGTCTTAGTTCAAAAGACTCACAAGATGTCTTCAATATTACTCTGTAGTCTCTTGGGTTTTTTGTTTGTTTTAGTTTTTTGTTTCGTTTTTTCTTTTCACTTTTCAGGGACCGTGTTTCAAAAGGATGTGGATTTTACCACCAGCAGGGGAAGGTGAAAATATTTAGCCTGCTAGAAAAGTGATATAGGGACTCATCCTATGGCAGCAATTCATCAATAATAAGAGAGAAACATTGTATTTGTGGAACTTCATACAATGTAAAAAAGTATAACTTTCATTTTATGTTGTGAACTCATGAAAATAATTATGTTGTAGATTGCCTCTTTAAATTAAGGTATGTGGTCCAGAAAAGGTACCTGTCATTTGTTAATGTATCAGGAATATAGAAAATGCCTGTGAAGGGACGTGGGAAATGTAACCGTGTGGACAATGATCAGGCTCTCAGCAAACCACTATGATGCTTTTTCTGAGGATTCTCAATGCCATTTTAATGCAAATATAGCTGAAATAACATGTGTGTACTTATCTTGCATGCACCACCTCCCGCCTGCTCTTCCTTCTCTCTCACGTCGTTCAGTGCATCACCCAGGGCAATTTAGGCTTGGGTCACACTGCACCTTTACTGGAATGAACGCTTGGCTGCTCCTATCGCAGCAAATCTGCTGCACAGTGAAGTGGCTCAAAATAAACAGTGAAATGTATTCCATCACAAGAGCACTCTAGCCTTTGCATATAAAAGCAGCACGCTTACACCCAAAATGTGACCACATTTGCCCTGTTATTTCTTTTAGCCTCAATAAAATTCATGTAATTCATCATTCAGCCAGCATCATTTGGAAACAACATAGCATTCATACCAGACTATGGTTTGACCAAATGCATCCTTAGAAACATACCTGAAATCTTTCGCTTTGTTAGGGCAGCCCTGTAGACTGGTTGGCTCCGGCCCTGAGAGTTCATGGACTGCAGGGAGACCACATACACGGATTCCGAGGCTGTGGACCAGGGAGTGAGGGATGAGATTCTGACTTCCATTTCTCAGGAACACACATCCCCTGGGGCTGGAGCGGGGGTTCTGCATTCCTCCTCCCCTTCCCCTTTTTCCGTTTCCTCTTTCTGGGGGTATTCCCACTTCTTGAGGACTATGAAGGGCGAGCCCAAGAACTGCAGGAATTAAACTCAAAAAGAACACTATTATGTTAGAAAATAGGGAACTGATTTTTTACCAGTAATTCCTGAAAAATAGGTTTCTACCTCATCAGCATCAAAAAGAGATAAGCAAAAACAAAATCATCAAAAAGAGATAAATGCTTTAAAAAAGAAAAGAATAACACGTTTACCCACATAATTCCCCCAATTTCTTTCTACTTCCAAAATTGAGAAGAGGAGGTTACTCTGTTTTTAATCTGTCACCAGAAAGAAAGAAGAAAAGAAAAGAATAGCCAATGTGCAACATGAGTAGCCCAGGTCTTTCTTTCCCTGTGGAATGCTGTGCCCTTCAAAACTAAAATCCTCAAAACAGAGTCTCTGAAGATTTGCTAACAGCACATGGAAGACTTTAAATGTACCCCTTATTTCTGGATGGTTCTTTCAGTCAGTTCTTGCCCGCACCCTCCGAGGGTCCCACTAGCATGCAACTTAGCCTGAACTTGAAAATTGAACAGCTGGTCCTTGAACAACACAGGTTTGAACTGTGCAGATCCACGTTATACGTGGATTCTTTTCAACCAGATGCAGATAGGATTGTATTCCAGAGGTGCCAAACCCGTGCACAGGGAGGGCCAGCCTTTACTGTACGTGGATTCTGCAGGGTCTTGAGTCTGCACGGATTTGGGTATACTCAGGGAATGCTGGAACCAATCCAGTGTATACCAGGGGCCATTGCACTTGAAGAAAAAAATGCAATGATGGAACAAAACTTGTCCTCTCAATTACTATGGAATCATAAAGTCTGAGACCCAGGTAAAACCTTTTTTATTTTTTATTTGACCTTCTTATCTTACAAATAAGAACATAAAGCCCTAACAATTGAGTGACTTGCCCAGGGTCACACACTTAATAACTTACAATCTATCCTGAATCCAAAATTGCTAATGCCTCACTCCAGACTCTCTGACCAAGGCTCCTGTTGCAGCTTTAATCTTTTCAAGAATAAAAATGAGGCGATCTGGCCTATTTCTAGTGCCAATAGTTATAATATCAGGTAGGACCTAAGTAAGTTAACGGAAGTGACACTAAGATCCTAAGGGGAGCTGAGAGCACGCACTCTCCTTCAGGCACTGCACATGTTCAGATGGCAGCAGGAAATCCCTCTTTTGTCTTTACAAGCATGTTGTGCTAAACGTGAAAGAAGACTTGTGTTCAAAATTCTCACACAGAGGGACTGTTTATGGACAGTGAGCTGCTGTAGAAGAATCAGAGGTTTCAAAGGAAGAGGATAATATTTGACAGCCTGCTCTCTACAGAGAGAAAGCGGGTGATACTCTAGCCATAAATGAGTAAATTATTTATACGGAGGCACTCGGCACTCACCTCTTATTCTACCAGAAGATTTTAAAATGTTTTATAAAAGGGAGGGAATAGTTTGTAACACTTGAATGCACAGAACATCAAACTAAGCTTCTATATGGAGGAGTCACTTCAGATCTGTTCATTACTCGGTGCTATTGACAATGGAATCTCGCCAGAAGTAAACAAACAAACAAACAAAAATGGCCATTCGACCTCACAGTCCAGGGACACATTGTAAGTAACTAATGGAAAGCAGTGTCCCATCATTTCTCAAGAAACGAATAATTTCCCACAACTGAAATTTGTATATGCCTTCAATGTATTTCTTAAAGTTCTGAGATTTTTTTTTAATGCCCAGATTTCTTGATTTGCTGCACTCTTGAAACTAAACTCGGCCCAAGTTTATCATTAAGAAAAAGTTTTATTCTGCAGTAAACACAATGACAGCTCTCCCCTGTGCTAAGCTTCTCACGCGCGCATCTTCATTGAGTCTCAACAAAGCCCCGCGCAGAAGCTACTGTTGTTGTCTTCACTTCACAGACAAGGAAGCGGGCCCACCCAGATCTGCGGGCACCAAAGCCTGGCTCTCAATAACTGCAGATGAGGAGGGGCGGGTGCAGAGCTGACCAGGCCACAGCCACCCAGCAAGCTGTCTCTTCCTCATAGAGATATGATGAACATGCAATGGTGTCAAGATGACCTCTTTCTGTGCCCCTGATTACTGAATAAAGAGGGGAAATGGCCGGGTGAGGTGGCTCACGCCTGCAATCCCCAGCATTTTGGGAGGCCAAGGTGGGTTGATCATTTGAGGTCAGGAGTTCGAGGCCAGCCTTGCCAACATGGTGAAACCTTGCCTCTACTAAAAATACAGAAATTAGCTGGGCATGGTGGCAGGTGCCTGTAGTCCTAACTACTTGGGAGGGTGAGGCAGGAGAATCTCTTAAACCCGGGAGGGGGAGGTTGCAGTGAGCTGAGATTACGCCACTGCACTCCAGCCTGGGTGACAGAGCAAGACCCTGTCACAAAAAAAAAAAAGAGGGGAAACTGAAATTCCCAAAATGGCCCCCACATCATCAGCCCAGTGACCCCAGGAACCCCCAGTCAGTGCCACCACATTTGCCCACTTTCCGACCTCAAGTGTGTAATGGACGTGGCACAAATGTCCTCCCCCACTCCCACAGCTCCTTGGTGACTTGTAGAAGGAAGTCCCTTGCTCCCTCTCAGCTCCCTGTCCTGCAGCCTCCTCTCCCCTGACAGTTCCACAGCCCCTCCGGCTGCAAGTCTTTGCCCAAATGCCACCTTCTCTGTGGGGCCTCCTTTGACAGTCAGTTCAACACTGGTGCCTCCCTGGGATCGCGTCTGATGCATGAGATGCCCAGTAAGACGTGTTTAGTGACAGAGAGTGGCTCGGAGAGTGGCGCTCCACTGCAGGACATAAGGCCCACCCCTCAAGGTTCCTTAACATGCGACCACTCTGTAGTACCAAGGGTTCTGTGGCCTCTCTGGTATAAACGGCTTGAAAATCCCATGCAGGATAAGTGCGTAGACAGGCTTCCCATGACACGGCAGGTCCATTCCAACACCGCGAGGAGAATCCACTTCAGCCCCATCCTGCACCCGCTTTTCCCCGCGACGGGGCAAGCTTCCAGGAGCCCTCCTCCTCACGGTGATCTCTTACATCATTCACGGTAGCAAGTCTAGTGCTTTATATGTGTGAAAATTTAAGAGCTAACTCATTTTACCAGAAGCCCAAGAGGCTGTCCGGTCCACCCAGGTGGGGACCGGAGCCCACCCCGATCTCAGGTCCAATATTTGCTCACGTTCAGGCAGCAAAAAACATCCTTCCACTATGTTCCGGTGAGCCAGCAGTTCACCACTGAAGAAATAAAAACAACAACAACAACAGATCCAGCCAGTTGAAACACTTGTTGATGCTAAGTGCCACTTTAGTGTGTGCCGTTCCCGGAAGGCTCAGAACAAAGCAAGCTGTCCGTTGAAACAAAGCTCCCCTGCAACAGCGGAGATGCAAAACCAGGGACTCTATTTCCCTGCTGATATGCCGGGCAGAATTTGGCCCGCATCACCAAAGTACGGTCAGCTCACCTGTGTAGGGGTGGCTCAGGAAGGAATGACTGAAGGGTATACAAATTACTCTGTGGCTTCAGGGGGTTGAGTCTCTAATTCAAGGTCTTGCTGCTAATTCTAAAGTCATGCTTGGCAAAGCACATCACTCTAGAGTTTCTACTTTTGCTTCCTGCATTCCCTTGACATTTCACATGCCGCTGCAACAGAGGGGTGGCTGGTCTCCTTTTTGCTTGAATAGCTGGAGTCCATACGCTGGGCTGGCTTTGACGCTGCGCCTGGCTCTCTCGGCTGCCTACGCCACCATGTGGAGACCATGTAAACACACAAAATGCCATGCGGCCAGCCCGTGCCTGGAACACCCACCAGGCAGCAGAGCTCCTCCAAGACAGTCTTCAGCAGGTGGCTGAACAGCAACAAACAGAAAAGGGACGTCCTAGGCTGTATCAGGGAAGGGATCTGATGTGACCATCCACCCAATGTCTCCACCAGATCAAATCCAAACTGCTGATATGCGGGGTAGAATTTGGCCCGCATCACACAAAGTAGAGTCAGCTTACCTGGACCCAGGGGGCTGGCCTCGGAGGTACTGAAGAGCACAGAGCTGCTTATCCAGGCTCCGAAATGCATGGCTGTGCCTTCCTCAGAGTTAGGAGCTCTCAGAGCGCCTAGGAGTGTGGGCTCGCCGGGCTTCCGTCCAAGCAAGTGCTCTGTTTCCGCGCCAGCCTTGGCTGTCTCCTGAGCCCCTGTTTCTCTCTGTGCAGGCCGGCATCTCTCCTCCTAGGCAACTCTCCCCTCTCCTCCTTTACCACGCCCTTGTCTGGTCTCATCCATCTCAGTCACACTGCCCATCCCCCTCCTTGTCTGAAGGATTTTACCTTTTAAGACTAAGTAGGTGCCACGCAATGGGTGCCAGGCTGCCTTCTCAGCAGCGCATCCCCACATAGCACACGCACCTTCCCCACCGCTCCCACCTCCAGCCTCCACACCACGGGGCAGGAAGCTGAGACCCTGCCTACAGGCAAGGGAAGAGACCAGGTAAGGGAAGAGGCCCCTCCAGATAAGGGAAGAGGCCCCTCCAGGTAAGGGAAGAGAGCCTGGATCTTACTGGAGTCTTCTAGAAGGCCCAATCAATCACATCCTTTTCCTTGCTTGAGTACTGAACTGATTAGGAAATGCCAGAACAGTCATTTGTGGGGGCTGAAAGCCCCCTTACATGACAGTAAGTAAGAAGCAAGCTGGAGAACATAGGGCAAGTGTACTTTACACGGAACCCAGAATTAGGCTCTCTGCTCAAGCAGCCCTGGGCCCTGCGTGTGCTCTCTGTGGCCCGGTTTCCCCACGAGGGGCAGAGATGAAAGGGCCCAGTTATGCTTGCCCCATGCTCCTTCCAACTCACCAATGAGAGAAGCAGGGAGCAGGGGTGAGACGGCTCTTGGCACTATCTCCACAAGCAGGAAGCATCAGGCCCGAGGGATAAGTCGACAAGTCGTGCCCCTCAGAGAGCCAAGCCTATGTCCGCTATCCAGGCTTATGGATGAATACGGCCTGCAAAGATCAGAACTCCCTCCAGGCCAGAAGGAGCACATAATCTCTTCCAGTCACAGCAAAGGTTCCCATCAGCATTCCCTGGCCAGTGCTTCCTTTGCCCAATAAGGGGCTGGACAAAAGGGAGGATGGCCTGTGTGATGGTTAATACTGAGTGTCAACTTGATTGGATTAAAGGATACAAAGTATTGGCCTGGTGCAGTGGCTCACACCTGTAATCCCAGCACTTTGGGAGGCTGAGGTGGGTGGATCATCTGAATTCAGGAGTTCGAGACCAGCCTGGCCAACATGGTGAAACCCCGTGTCTACTAAAAATACAAAAATCAGCTGGGTGTGGTGGCACGTGCCTGTAGTCCCAGCTACTCGGGAGGCTGAGGCAGGAGAATCGCCTGAACCCGGGAGGCGGAGGTTGCCGTGGGCCAAGATTGCGCCACTGCACTCCAGCCTGGGAGACAGAGCAAGACTTCGTCTCAAAAAAAAAAAGATACAATGTATTGACCCTGGGTATGTCTGTGAGGGTGTTGCCAAAGGAGATTAACATTTAAGTCAGTGGGCTGGGAAAGGCAGACGCACCCTCAATCTGGGTGGGCACAATCTAATCAACTGCCAGCACAGCTAGAATATAAACAGGCAGAAAAATGTGAAAAGAGAGACTGGCCTAGCGTCCCAGCCTACATCCTTCTCCTGTGCTGGATGCTTCCTGCCCTCAAACATCGGACCCCAAGTTCTTCAGTTTGGGAACCTGGACTGACTCTCCTTACTCCTCAGCCTGCAGATGGCCTATTGTGGGACCTTGTGATTGTGTGAGTTAATACTTAATAAACTCCCCTTTATATATGTGTGTGTATTCCATTAGTTCTGTCCCTCTAGAGAACCCTAATAAAGCCTGACTTGCAGTTTCACTCGGCTACCATGTCTCATCTTAATGGGACCCAAGGCCCAGTGTCCTAGGATTCTAAGACAAAGCTTCAAAGAACAAAATGACAAAAACAGCCAAGATGACAAGACTGGCCCTACTCTCAAGTCCAGGAAAATGGCCTGACTCAAGGAGTCTGTGCTGTCGGATCAGGAAGCAACTGACAGGCACTAGGAAGGCAGCCTGGGGCTGCCACTAACAGAAGGTTAAAATGATGGCGTCCAGGATGGACATGGAAGAAACAGTAGAGATTCAAATCATTGTAACATCTGGCAAGTGGACATTACAACTAAAATATAATGCTCTGTCATGAATGAGCTTCTAAATATTGAAATGATCCCAAAGACCATGGAAACATTGAATACCAATGAATATGAAACTCACCTAGCTTTTTAATTTCGTGTGTCCGTTCATCTCTTGTCAGTGGAACATAATTCATCTTCCGGCCACTCTCCCCGTAGCCCAGGAGAAAACCCCGTGATCTGCGTGGACTCTTGGCTCCAGACAGGCGTGGTGCCTTCCACGCAACGGACAGCCTGTCATCTGAGGACCGGACACGCACACGCAAGGGCTTGTTGGGCACTTCCTTTTCTTAAAGAGGGCAGGACACAAAAGTGGTTAGACAGTAGACCACTTAGAGTTTGCCATCATGCACATGAGGTCTTCAGACCCTGAGCCTCAACAATTAGCTGCTGAGCTTCAAACATGCATTTCTTGGTAACTAATTCTAGTAAGGACATTTTTCCCCCAAGGGTATCAATACTCTAACCACATATTCCTCCCCACATTTCATACCAAAAGGTCTCAAGAAATTAAAATAAAACATTCCATGTTGTGAGACTGCCCGCCAGAAATCTTGGATGTTTTACAGTGTCCCTTTTTATCTATTTCCTTTTGTCCCCTTTAGGCCAAAACTATATATTCTCAGGAAAGAGCTAAAGGTCAGTATAAAAATATAGCAGAGAGACATTATGTGCTATTTATAACTCTCCTCCAGAAAGCTTTTTCACTGTAATGTTGAAAAGACGGGCTTTCCTTGCCTTTACAATGAATCATTAACTGATTTCTATTTTGGGTCCTAATTTTTCTTCCATGTCTAAGCCTTGCTCCTCCAGACAAAGCCTGGCCATGCTACACCATCGCTGCTATCCTCTGTGTCTGTTGTTTTTTTTACTTGCTACATTAATCAGTTTTGAGAAATCTCTTGCTAAGCCAGTTAATCTCAAGAAATGCCCTCACTATAAACTTTCCCAAAGCAGTGTATTCTGGTGATCAATACTTAGTGTTTAAAATTTTGCTTGTATATCAAATAAGAGCTGGTATGTTTGGAAACAAGGGTTATGGATCATGTGACTACCACCTTGCCCTCTTTTAGAATATGCCACTAACCACATTGTAAGCCCTCATTTGGGGATCCAGTTAGGCTAAGGAGCACCTCTTTAATTGTGTAAGGCAGTTAGTTCCCAAGCATTCTTCCTCCATATATACATTAACCCCATCACCAATTCTGACTAATTTTATTAGATTGGAAAATTCCCAGCTAGGCTAACATTTCAACACTAAGACATAAAAACAAAATCTAATATCACAATTCAGCATGCCCTTCAAGAACACATAAATCAATAGCCTTTGGAGATGCTGAAATGGCAGACACCTGGTTCCAACGTCCTGAATCTAACCAAAAGGAATATCCACTTGTAGATTAGCTGGAGCTACCCAACCAGTCACTGGGCACCCCATTCCTATAGGCTACTAAGAGAACACCATGGTATGTTCAACAAATACTTTCCCCAATAATCAAAGTAGTAATTGTTTTAAAGGTTTTTTTTTTTTTGTTTTTAGTCCAAAAGTATAGTCCAGTAAAATGAGCAGATCTACTGAGAACACACACACTGGTCTTATGTGAGTCAGCTGGAACATAAATCATTGAGCAGAGACAGCATCCTCTGCCCTGAACTCTGCTCCAGTCCTGAGACCTTCCCAGCCGTGTGTCTGGGGATGGAAACTGATACTGGGGGTCACAGTGTCCCTGCTGGGCCCTGGGGAGGATGGCAGTTCTCTGTTCCAGGACAAACCAATTCTGACTCGGCAATCCCTGACACTCAACCGTAATAAGCTGCAATAAAAATTTTTTAAAAGGTCTTTGAAATTTCCTGAGGGTCGGGGTCCCTGAGGAGTCAGGAGTGAAGTTCCAAGGACAAGGAGCCTGGTCACAGATGGCACAAGCTTGTTGCCTGCAGTGTCTGCCGGTGGCTCTGTCCTGCACCATGCCAGGTTCACTAAACATGAGCCACACACCCCAACAGCAGGGACAACAGCTTTCTGCTCATTGCACACGCTTCCCCCTTCCAGGCTCTGGCCTTGCTGTCCAACCTAGAATGAGACCAGGCCCACTGAACAGCTTTGGGGACAGGGCTGAGGCTGGCTCTTGCAATCCCCCTATTTTATGGAATGTTTCGCTCTGCAGCAAGCTCTCACATAGTTCATCTAGCTGTCCTTAGAACAGCTCCAAGGTAAGTAGGATAGATTCATCACCCCCATGAGAAAACTGTGGCTCACAGAGGGGAAGTAGTAGCTGACAGACAGTCACATAGCTGTTTAGGGCCAGGCAGAGTTCAGCCATTCTGATTCCCAGTTTCATCCCCTTTCCATGATGCCCCTTTCATTTAAGCTCCTCCTTACCCCATGGGCCATCCCACCAACCTCCCAACCTCTTCTAATGAATGTGAAACAAGGGATTTGAGCCAACAGGCTCCCTTCAGGGTATAAACACATGACTGCTTTGCCCAGTAGGCATTACATATAACAAAAAGTATTCTCAGCAGGTAGCAAACGGACAAGAGAAGGACTGTCACCAAATACCACCCAGGAAGAACTGTTCCCTAGACAACATGGAGCTCGCTGTCTCGGTAATAACCAGAGTGAAGTGAGAATGTCCTCCCTCTAAACACAATTGTCTCTCTTTCAAATCTTTGGGTTTAGAAAAACCAACCCCATTTTTTTCAAGTATTTTGAAAATTTCCTTTCTTTAATACTCTGGTTATATATACCATCAAACATCTTTGATAGATCATCTGGTAATCCTCTTTTAAACTGATGTGCATATTAAGAAAACTAGCCATATGGTTCAAATTCATTTGCAATTAAACTATTTAAGTGTTCTCTCTGGGCTGTATGTGATAGCCTCACCAAAGCCTTCTGAAATTCTCTAATAAATCTGTGTAAGTCTTTTATCTTGAAAACAGGAAGTCACAACTGCCAAGGGTAATGGAGCTTGCATCCACCAGCGCTGAATGTACTTCAAACTTGGCTGGACACATTCCCTCAACTGCTGTTGGTACAACGTAATCAGGTGAATTGCACTCAGAACTGGCTGATAACAGAAGACCTGCGGCAACTAATGATATGTCACCCACTTGGCAGGTCCCCTGGGTGAAACAATTACCATCCAGATTGCAGTAGACCTCAGAAACCAGACAGGATTCAAGTATTTCTCCGGATTTGTGCCACTGGCTTTGCAAATTGGCAAATATTCTGAAGTTGTATAGAATCAAAATCTCTTCTTTTTACAAAGAAAATAATCTAAAATTCAATATGATGTTTTACCCATTCTATGCTAGTTAAACTTGGTAGCTTCTGAATTGGGCTTGAAGTCACAGGCTCTGAAGTCAAAGTCTGAATCGAATCTATTACAGGCTATGTGGCTTAGACCTCTCTGAATTTCAGTTTCTTCTGTAAAATAGTGCACAGCATATGCACTTTGTAATATAACCATGTAAAGCGTTCGGTGCCATACCTGACATATGCTGTATTAAGCACACTAGTTGTGTTTGTGGGCCTGACAAAAATGAAATCCCTCACTTACTAGATTCACTACCTGAGTGGGTAACCCCCTTCAGAATGGGAGCCGTGAATGTATCACAGAGCTTACCACCAGGCCTTGCATACAGGGGCACTAAAAAAAAAAATGTTTCAAAGAACCAAATGTGAGCAAAAGAGAGGGCTTATTGCCAAGGACCCTTTACATTGAAAATCTTTTCAAATATGAGGTTGCCTATAGCCAGATGAAGAGCGTTATTCATCTTCATCAACATCTAGCAATTATCAGTCACTCGAAATCCCTCTCTTCATTGGTGTAAAAGAACGCATGACCACAGCTGTCTGGCGGCTACTTTCTGTTGGCCCAGGTCTTGCCTGGCAGGACATGCTCACTTCCCAGCAGAATGTGAGGTTTCACTCCATCTACAGCCTTGAAGAGCCGCAATTTGTCTGGTTTGTCCCACTGACCGATCTGACACCCCACTGCGCTGACCACCAACTTCACAAAGATGGTCCTGATCTCTATCCCCGTGACCTGAAAGAGCAGGCCTGATGCTCACAGGCCTTCAAATACCCACCTTACCCCAGGCAGCTGCCCCACCATCCCCAGCACCAGCCTCCATTATAACTGTGGACACCAATCTGCACGCCGGGGGTGGGGGTCAGGGGGTGTCCAGCCATTTAGGCCGGAGCCATGGTGCTCGAAGTTCAGTGTGAACCAGAAGCACCTGGCCAGGGTGTGTTTTCACCTGGCCTCCCACCTCCATCAGGACCAGGCCTTTTGTGCACTCCTGATGAAGAAGCTTGATAAGGAAGAGGTGAGAAGCCTGAGAGGAAGAAGAAAGAGAGGGCAGGGAAAGGGGTGAGAATGTGTGTCCGGGAGCAGTGAAGGTCGGCTGCTGATAGCCAGATGGGGGCAGGACATCAGCTTTGTTGGCCATACTCTGCATCTGAACTCCCTGACCCCAGCTCATGCCCAGGCCCGGTGCTGCCTGACATCTCCAAAGTTGGTGAGCTCCAGCAAACGCCACCCGAGCCTGCATCCACCACAGGCTCGTTCTTCCTGTGCAAGTTCTGACACATAACCCTCCTGAAACACCTTTGAATTGATTTACAGTACTCTTCTTCTACATACCCAATATTTGCAATACTTACGTAAAGTCCCTCTTTAATGCCATATTTTCTCTCCCATAAGCAGCCTCAGTACTTGTAACTATGTACTGGTTTTCTGTGATACTTGGTTAGGCCCAGCTAGTTAACAGTAAGGAGAAAGGGCACTTGGCAGCCATCCTTGAAGGCACCCAATCACAGCCCATCTGCTGACCAAAGAAGTGAGGCTCAGAAAGGCTAAGGGAACATCTCAAAACCAGACAGCAGGAAGCCGAAGCCAGAATTCGCACCCCATCTGTCGGATCGGTAGCCCTAGCTCTCTCCGTAGCAGCTCTTGTTGAGAAGCTCATGGTGGTTGCAGAGTTGGTGTCACCAGTAGCCATGTGTGGCACAAGCATCACACCTTCTCCAGGGGAAGGTCCTCTTGGTGCCTCCCAAATCACACTGGCGAAGGATGTGGTGGGCAGCACCAGGACGCCCTGGCAAGATGTGCATGTGCCCCGCTTACAGAGAAGCTGGCACAGTTCCCAAGGACCCGACTGCTCTTCAGAGGGCGTCAGCACCATCTGTCCCATCAAGATCTGCTCAGTGCACTATTCCTCTTAAATGTGTAAGTGTCTAGTGCTCTGGGAAAGACCCCTGATGAGGAGTCAAGCATGTGGCCAGCACACTAAGGACAGCAACACACTGCTTCCTCCAGAGATGCCAGAGGAGCACCCCTCAGCCAACCCCTGCAGTCAGTAAACTCTTGCTGCATTTTCAGGGATTGGAAGAAGAGGTCTTAAAAGCAGGAAAAAAAGGATGAAAAAGAGAAAGAAAAAGAAAGGGAAAGGACCTTGATCTCCCCTGAGCTAATCAATGCCAATTATTAATGTCATGAATCGTGGAAGCCCAAAGAACCTTTATAAAGCATTTACACTAACTTTCAAGACAAACCAGACAACATCACCACCTTCAGTTCGAGATTTCTGCTGCCCACAGCAAGCATCCAATATTTCAGAGACTCTGGCTTCCTGCCTTCCAGGATCCTGCCTGACATCCTGGGTGTCATCAAATCAGGAAGCCCCAGGAAATGCCACTTGACATGGAGTCAAGAAAGGGATTTTGCTGTCAGATGCTGGTGCAAGGCTGCCAGCATCTGTGCCCCCAAGCGGGGTACCCTAAATCCATCAGGACTCTCTCAGGTGCAAAGTAAACTCTTTAAGCTATCCTGGGGCCACTCCATTTCAAAGAGTTTGTGTTGTTTGTTTCACAGAAATGCTGAATCACTCTGTCACTTAACTAAGGTTTCTTCCAACTTCTCACCAAAGTCTATCTAACAGCAGAGAGAATGAATCCCCCCAGCCCAGAAGCCTGGAGCGTGGAAATTCATTCCTAATCTTCATTTTTATCTCAAAATTGCATTTACATTTTGTAGACTACTCCATAATATTTTGGTGTTTGTTTAAAAATTAAAAGTAGCCTGGGCATGGTGGCTCACGGCTGTAATCTCAGCACATTGGGAGGCCGAGGCAGGCAGATCTCCTGAGGTCGGGAGTTCGGGACCAGCCTGACCAACATGGAGAAACCCTGTCTCTAATAAAAATACAAAATTAGCTGGGCGTGGTGGCATGCACCTGTAATCCCAGCTACTCAGGAGGCTGAGGCAAGAGAATCGCTTGATGCCGGGAGGCAGAGGTTGCGGTGAGCCAAGATTGCACCACTGCACTCCAGCCTGGGCGAGAAGAGCGAGACTCTGTCTCAAAAAAAAAAAAAAAAAAAATTAAAAATAACATTTGAATGCCTGGCCATCAGGAAAATTCTCCCTGTTGGACATGGTCTATTGACCTTAGGCCTTCATGGAATCTTAGTTGTGTCACATTCTCCCAAGTTCTGGGGATCCCAGTTTGAGAAGCCCTGAGAATCACAGGTATGGCAGTGGCTTCAGGATGTCACCCAAAATGTCAGTCAGTAGCTGACTTTGGTATTGATCCTAGTGGAGTGCTATGAATATCAAGAAAAACTACTTTGTGCCGTCAGTTTCACAGTACAGGTCTGAGGCTGTGCTGGGCTGCCGAATGCCAAGACGGTGGTCATCCACTGCATTAGTGACAATGAAGAGCTCTACACAGGATGGCCATGAAGCCCTTCCCACGACCACAAGAATTAAGAGGTTCTACAGTTGCTTGCATGGATATGGCTCTCAATTTGTATAGATCATAAGCCTTTTGAGGGGAATCTTTCCCTTATCCTGCCACTGTGTAGGCAAGGCTAGAGTCTCTGTGACCCATCTGTGGCCGTAGCTTATCTCTAGACCCAGAAGACCAATACCAGTTGCCCTCTTCAGCCATCTTATGATTCTGATGTAGACATCGCTGTGCCATCTGCAACAGCAGCTTGGGGTCAGTCCTACCCTGAGCCCAGCTCACTCACTCCCCATCCCCAGCCCAATCCCCACCAACACAGTGTGGAAGGATCAGGCAGCTTCTTTGGGGGACTGGATATGAAAGTTTCCTCCGTTATTGGCGTGAGTGTATAGAGTCATTAGAAGCATCTACTCTAGATCCATCTCGTGGTGCTTTAGTTCTCAGCCATTCCCCTACAGGATTCATGAGGGCCACAGAAAGCAAAGAAAGCAATAATCTTTTTCCAATCTTAATGGCTGGATCCCCACAGTATAACACAGAGATGGCCTCATAGCCTCTAAGCGAAGAGAAGGAGTGTTAAATATTCTAAGGAAAATTTAACACCAGACGTCAGTTCAAAGAGTTTTGATTTGTCGGGGTTGTTTGTTTTAGTTTAAAGTTCTTCTGTATTTGTTTCCTTTGGGAATAGAATGGTAAGTAATGCAGTTGTTTTCTGGCAATCAAAGACCTTGTTTTGTTGAACGTCTATTGGTTACTTCAATTTTTAACTGTTCTCCAACACACACACACATTGGCTTCACTTGCAAATGAAAGATCCAATTACAATATATGAGTAGGTTGATAAGTTTAAAAAGGAAAGTGCTTCCTTTCAGGATTAATATCTGAATTTGCAAGGGTCCCACAAAAGCTGCTTCCCCTCTCAGAGGTATCACAGACCCACACCTGCCCTCTTTTTCTCACAGACATCCAGAGAAAAGCCCAGATATCAATCAGAAAGCAGCAAGTGAACCCCAAGATGCTGGCCTCATCAGAAGTATTAGGTTTTATTAAACTACTGTAGGTTCTTCCAGGACTGGAAGGCAAGTCCAGGACTTGAAGGCAAGTGCTTCATGCAAGGTGGCACAGGCAGGGACCACCCATCTCCCACCTTCCCAGAGCCCCCGCCCCTCACAGTCGGAACAGTCGCTCATCAGCCTCTGAAATAAGCACACATCCTGGTGTCCTAAGAAAGGGCCTTACCCCCACTGCTTGTGTCTTCACGTGAAATGCCTGTGATTTCACCTCAAAGGTAGGAGAAGGCTGTGCCCAATCAATCTCTTTTCTGGCCAGCTAGCTCCTTCCTGCCTCCCTTCCATGGCATTTCTGCTGGGGTGGGGGGGTGCCAGCAGGGACTCCTGAGGCCTTTGCTTCTCCCCAGGGACATCTGGCTAAATGGAGTCAAACAGCTTCTCACACAAACCTCTGTCTCCCACATTTTTATTACCTAAAGAATGGGCTCTACAACTAGCAAAGTCTAGCTGTATTTTAACATGAGAGGCAGCTTTGAAACGAGCACCGGATGAAGAGATCCAAGCCCTTAAGATGGAAGGGCTCGTTCTGGGGCAGTACTTCCTTGGGAGGGAGTAGTGGGCAGGCCACCCCACAGCCCATGGATCTGGCTGTGCAAACACCTCATCTTCATAGACCAGCCAGCCCAAAGAATTCCAGTTTACAGATGCACACATCTTTTTTTTTGGCCCAGGCCCTCACAGTAGCAAAAGACAAGAAGTAGAATCTCTGATTAATGGTAGCACCAATCTGAGTTCAACAAACGGGCTTGCCCAGAACCCCCCGAATCAACATTGAACTAGACAGAGGTGACCCCAATCTTCTCACAGGCACCTCTGCAACGTCCAAGCCCCAGCTGTTGTCAACACTCTTGTCAATGCCCACTCCTCTACCAAGCACAGGTATGGGGCAGAAGCAACCGCCAAATGCATTTCCACTGAACAAATGTCTCCTGAGCACCCACTGTGCAATTGCCCCAGGCTCTGGAGATAGGAAGATGAGTAAATCAAAGCACCCTGCCCTTAAGGAGCTCACCTTCCAGGCCATGAACTTTTGTCCTGTGAAGTGCACACTAAATAAAACTAATAACTGCATGAGAAAGCTACTGTGAAAGTAATGTCACAGACAGCATTAATTCCCCATTGGCCAAAGGCTTTGATTGAAATTGTACTTGGAAAGAAGGCAGTCTTTGATTCATAATTAATTCCTTGCTTTTGAATTGGGGTACATGTTAAGCACGAGTCTGGTGCACAGCAGCTCCACTGCCTGGCTGCAGAAATATCTGGTGGAGCCCTTGCTTTGCCTATTGGTTTACTCTGCCGGCACCTTTTGCACCAAGTGCCAATGACACATGTCAGTTTAAATAAGTTGACATCACCATCTCCACTGGTTCATTCAGCAGAATTCCACCATTGCAAACAGAGGGGAGGACACCCAACAAGGGGGCCCTGGGAGAGGTGCTTTCCAGCATTATCACTGGGGATGAGTCTTTCTTCTGTGTACCTTTGGTGTGTTTTAAGTACATTCTCAAAATGCAGAAATTACAATTTAGCATTTCTTCCTTCACTAATATGACTTTTGAATGCAATGACCTAAAACATTCAAAGTAGGGTAAAAAAAATAGGAAAACAGCCATTTGTTCAGTATGACAAATGGTTTTCTACTGCTCACAAAGCTTAGCATCATTCATTAAAAGTGGAATCCGTCCACTCAGCCTCATAGTTTCATGACATTTCAAAACTAAAAGGAAACTTGGAACCTTAGAAAGAAATTTGGAGCCTAAGAAAGTTCTTAGAAAGGAACCTAGAAGCCTCTTGTTGAATCCCATCATTTCATAGCTGAGAAATCTGGTATTTGGAAGACAGGAGTTGCTGATGGCTGAGAGCTAGTCAGGGCCTGAACCTGGAGCCGGAGCCAGGTGTTCAGAGGTGAACAGTGTCGAGATTATGGTTTGGTGGATTAATTATGCTCTTGAATCAGCAGATTGGAGAGACAGCCATCTCAAGACACTAGGTTTAGAGTTTTCAACTTCCACATCAGTCATATTTAAATAAACCAGCAAGATCATATGCCTTAAAGTTGGTGCTCATTTTGATGAAATACTGACAGAAAAGGCCAAAATACAAGTCTGGGGTATACATGTCCCATCAATCTGTAGCTATGCCCATGAAAAGAGTGCTAGATAAGAAATCTTTACAATGCCAAACTTTGTTTTTTCATGTTTTCATAGTTTCATTGTTTTGGTATCAAATAATTAGTTCAACAGTAGGTATCAACTTTCTGAACCAGGCACTGGGAGGGATCCAAAGATGAATCCCACCCCAGATCTGCCCTCAGGTCTACCATGCTTTCCAAGAAACTGATGTAGATGAAGTCAGCCTTAAAGAGAAGGTGACAACAGCCCTTCCCTAGAGCCAGCAGGAGGGCAGGGAGCAGTGAGGGTTCAGGAGGGAGAAGAAGGGAGAGGGGCAATGTCAGCTGAAACCTTCATCCCCCCAGGGAAGCAGGAAGCAAGTCACCTACTAGAAGTGAAAGGAACCCAGGCCAGGAAATGGGCTGGAGCACAGTGGTGACATTTTGGACTAGCCACTGTGGCATAAAGAAAGGAAACTGTGTGAGGACAATCAGGAAGTGGCCAAGCAGCACTGAGGACCTGGATGAAGTGAGAAAACCAGCTCTGACAAGCTGTTGTAACTCAAATCAGATCAGCTCTTCATCTGTCTCACAAAGCCCAGCCATCAGCATGGCAGACAGAGAAAGCTAGATAGCTGGGGGTCCTGGCAGAGCGACGGGCAGAGGTAGCACTGCAGCAGTGAGGCCGCTGAAATGACGGGGGCAGACCTGCATGTGGAGTGTGGTTGGAATGATGGGACCTGGATAAAGTAAAGAAGAAACAGGACAGCGGCAGCTTCTGGACCCCACAGCTGGGAAGGGTCTACAGGTCCAAAGTCTACTATGGTCTGAAATTAAGCTTCTGACGTGAGGGTGTTGAGGAAGTGAGATGATGGTGATCAGATGGGGATTCCAGGAGTCTAGATTTTGGAAGGGATCAACTCTATCTGTAACTTTAACTCCATGAGGGGAGGTGGCAGTTAGAGCCAGGAGGTGAGAATATCAAATGGGTCATTGTCATGGATGCCTGGAATACAGACCCACTATGCGGCAAGTGCCTGAAGTTGCTGGATTTAGGGAGCAACCCGGAAGTCAGTGGGTGACCAAGATAAGGAAATGTCTGGTCCGCAAGCGATTGTCACGCAGCATCGTCTGGAAATGGCCAAGGAGTAATTGTGGACTCTATGCTGAACTTGAGTCCAAGCTATCGTTTGTCCAAAAAAATGAGCAAGCGTCGCGAACTAAAATATAATGTAAAGAAAAATGAGGCAGAAATTAGACTTTGATTTCAGTACTAGGCCTAGTTTAGGCTCCAAAACTTGAGAAAAGCACAGAGGACTTGATTTTTAGAAAAACCTTAAAAATGATTAAATAGATATGATCATATTCAGAACTATACTTAACCAGAACCTAATACTGTTTCCCAAATGAAGAGTTTGACAAAAGCTGACTAACTAGCTGGGCTGAGGCCCTAGGCTGGCGGGTAGCAGAGTGGGGATGTGTCTGTGTCCCTGTCCTGACCCCCAGGGCCTGGCTCTGCACTGCCAGGTTACCCAGATCCTGTTACACAAAAAAAGCCAAAACAACTTGCAGAAAAGAAGTCTGCAGAAAAGCTCCATAACAGTATTCCAATAAATGAACAGACTTGTGACATCTCTTCCCTGGGGACAGAACAAGAGGATACAGGTTTCCATCCCAGCAAGAGGGATTCTGCATTAAGTACAAAGAAAGCTTTCCGGCTCGGAGAAGTGAGATGAGCAACACAAGAGGAGCCAAAACTGCTGCCCTCGTGCTGCATTCTCGCTCGATCCTGTCATTTCCTGAGTGCTGAGAGGTTTCATATTTGGACGACTGACCAGTCTGGGAATTGCTTAAGTCTTGCCCAAACTCCAGGACTCTCTGGCATGGTCCTCCTCCTCCTCCCCACATGGCTTCACCCTCACAGTCTCTTACGATCTCAACTTGGTGCCACCATCTTATCAGTGTCTCCTAGGCTCCCAAACCGTCACTCCCATCTGCTTATTCTATATTACAGTACTGCTTATTTTTAAAATAATTCATGATGTGTTATGGGCTGCATTGTGCCCCCTCTGCCAAATTCATATGTTGAAGTCCTAACCCCAGTATCTCACATGTGAGCATATTCAGAAATAGAGTCTTCAAAGAGGTGAGTTAAAATGAGGCCATTAGGCTGGGGCCTCATCCAATTTGACTAGTGACCTTATAAAAAGGAAATGTGGACACACAGATACCAAGGATGCATGTTCACAAAGAAAGGCCATTCAAGGACACAGCAAAAAGGTGACCATCTACAAGCCAAGGATAGAGGCCTCAGGAGAAATCAAACCTGCCAACATCGGGACTTTGGACTTCTAGACCCAATAATCAAGAGAAATAAATTTGTGTTTTCTAAGCCACCAGTCTGTGGCATTTTGTTATGGCAGCCCCAGCAAATTAATAGATTATATGCAACATTTTGTGCATATTTGTTTGTTATCTTTCTTTCTCATTGGAATATAAGTTTCATTGAGGTGATCCCTTGTCTAGCTTGTATCTCTAACACCTAGACCTCCGCCTGTAATAAATTAATTGAATAACTAAAGTCCTATTTTTAGGTAAAGACAATTCAGTTGAGATAGCTGTAAGCCTGCAAAAGGAGGTCTTCTGGAATCAGAACTGCAGCCATTGTTTCTAGCAGCTTAAAAGAATGGATATTCCTCTGGTTTCTAATAAAACACAGGAAGGATGTGAGACCCTATCAGTCAAAGCACTAAAGTGAATCCCTTTGGGCCTTACACCAGGTGCCCATGCTAATGTCTGCATTTTTGAAGGCAAATTCCTCTTTGAATGAAGACAGGGAATTCTGAATACTTCTTTTGTTTGGCAAGATTGTCATATATTTAACAATTTCTCGGAATAATAGCAGATCATATTTTCCAAGCCTCATCAAAAGGTATAGATACATGGTGATCACTTACTGATAACTTCACATAAATTATTATTTTTATTAACAATGAAATGTAATTTGTGAAGTACTTTAACCTAGTCTGTGCATTCTGGATATTCCTGGGTTTTTTTTGTTGTTGTCGTTGTTGTTGTTTTAAGTTCTGCTTTATATTACATGCTTCAAGTGGTTTGAGCCAGCAGTTTCTTCTGGTATCTTTTTTAATCACCATGTATGACAAATGAAACATCATGTATTATAGCAGAGTGGTTTGGCAACCAGGGCCTGCAAAGCCTCCTGCAGATAGAAGTTCAATAATCTCACAATACATACAACCAATAATGAGCTGGAACACGGCTGTCTGATCCCTGGTCCCCAGGGTTTCTGCTCACTTACTCAGAAAGGTCATACACATGTGTGCACACACACTATTAAAGAGGGCATAAGAAATTAATTACTTCTGAAAAAGCAAGAAAATCACTTGTTCTAAAGCTATTGTCATTCAAAAAACTGTATCAGGAAGGATGTAAAAATAAGACGCTTATTTAAAACACAAAATATAAGATTCAAATGCAAGGCACACACATCCATCAGTAAAAGGTTCACACGTGTCTGTTTACATGTGTGTGTTCAGAGGTAAACAACCTCTGAAAATAAACACCTTTTCTTCTTTTGCACACTTGCTAGCTGTACTAACTTGTTGACCATTTTACTGAATTTCCATGGTTTGATTCCTGGCCTCCTGATCTTCTTTCTGCTAATCCTCAGCCACTCATGAGCTCTCTACTTCAACTTTTGCCTTATAGCATGACTCCTAAGTCCATGTCTCGTTCTTACTTCCCTCTTCCAACTTCCATTCTCTCTTCTCAAATCAGCTACAAGACATTTCTGTTGCAACACCTCATAGTCATTCAAACAAGAACACTTAGTCTCTCCCCAAAAGCCAGTTTTCTTTTCTGATGTTTTGTTCTTCCACCCCCTTTTCATATAGCATGCACTGTGAAGACCACCTACACTATCAAATCTGGTCTGAAAAGCAGATAATCATCATTGGTTTCATCATACTCACCTTCCTGTCAACAAGAACTCCAGATTGATATATTTAAACACATGGCATGTGAAAATAAAACACAGCTCCTCACCATAGTGCTTTTGAGATATTACCCAACCACACTCTGAAATAACTGCATTCATTTTACATTATTTTTTCACCATCAATTAAATATATTCAAGAAACACACAAGAAATGTCAACACTTTTCTCAGTAAGTAAAACAATATGACCAGACAACATCAACATCCAAATGAGAAAACAAACAGATACACAAATATGGAGCAGAGATGGAAGGTAGGTCGTCTAACATATCACAAAATATCCCAAGGTTGTAAGAAAAAAGCAAGACTTGAAGCAACATGTTAGCCCATAAAAGCCACTATTTTGGGGGGACCCCATTCATTGATTCACTGGTAGAAGAGCTATAAATATCCTAATCTGGTCAGTACTGCCATCTCAACCACCATATTTGCCTATGAAGAGGGCAACAATATCCCCAGATGTAGACGCAGACACTTCCCCACGCGAGAACATGAAAGAACGGTGAACAATAAGCAACACTGGTTACAGTCTAGTTCATTGGATGCAGAACAGATTGACCAAGACTGTGTGGCGTGTGTGTTAGTTTAGCGATGGGAACTCAGTGAAGGTTTGTGAGCACATGTGTGTGACGGAAGCACAACTCTCTTGCGAGACGATGCTTCAGTGAAAACATGAATCTGACATGAAGGAGGAAGTAGTACCTGTGACGGTTTCATTAAATGGTCCTGGACCCTTAATGGGAAAACCATCAATCTCGATCCATTCACCTCCTAAATTAGGGAAATGCAACTTGATAGTTAGAAACGAGGACTGTTGGGTTTTCCACATTACAGTGCATCCATAATGTATAATTAAATGATCTTTTCAACCATCTTCAAAAGGATCTGCTCAGCCCATATTAGTGACTGGACACCTCAGCTTTACGGACAATACATATTTTAGGTCTTTTACACATGGTTTACTCAGTAAGTATTCAAAACATCTGGATGAAATGCTAATAACCTACATTAAAACTATTTTAAAAGAAAGGATAAGCCTCTTCCACTTTTCAATCTGTCAGCTTGCTATACAAGTCTAAAAAGTTCTTGTTCAAAAATTATTTAATAACTCTAAATTTATATTTACTGGAAGAAGCAAGGAGGGATGTCTCTCCCAATCTAAGTAACAACACTACAGCCTCTGATTCTAGATAGGACTTACCAGGTGGGCTTTCAGCTCTGTAAACAGGACGGCTCACTCCACTGTGGTTTTCTGCAGTAAGCAGCACAAAGTACACTACCCCCGGCTCTGAAACATACGGTTCATATCAAGCCACCAATTCAGATCTCCAAGAATGACACAGTTTCACTCACTAACCATGCATAACCATCTTCCTTATACCAGTTATAACCAAATACAAAAATCCAAATTCAGTGACAAGCATAATGATAGATGTCTCTCTTTTTTTAAATTAAAATCACTAACATTCTTCTCATGCAACTGAAAAACACATGACCCAAAGAACATAAACTTTATTTCATACAAGGTACATGCCATGTGTAATAAACCTGGATTCATCAACACTCAACAAAAAGAGCTTTTGAAGGTTTTAATGTGAAATCCATGTAGGAAACAGGAACTCCTTGTCCACTAAATAGGTGTTTGAACATACACTGTCAGTCACTACTAATAATCCTTCCCCATTAGAGGCTCCAAATGAAAATCTCCAGAAAATAATAAGAAATGTCAATGTAACCCATAAAATGTAGCACATGGGAAATCTTCACTGCAATACATAAAGCTTCATGAAATTTTCTCCTTTTCATAATAAAATATTCCCCTTACTATGTCTGCATGTTGTTTTTGACCATTCCAACAAAAAGCTAGAAAAATATATATATCCTGGAGTCTTGGAAATGCTAATCTTGACATAACTGGGCTTCACTTTTTGACTTTCATCTAGGGGTCAAGGCCAAATAGCAGAGGTCTCTTGGGCTGAGCTCCTAAAGTTGATGGGATGGGAAAGGAAATGAAGACCCATGTTACAGGGGAGGGCACCCTGAACGTGTAGCTCTGCAAGGTAAAACCCTACTAAGTACTAGGTTTCCTGAAAATGAATCACTGTCTTGTGACAGGTAAGTGGGGTACCAATTTCTTGAAGAGACGAAAGTCTGTGGGTATTTCAGGGGACGAGAGCTGGAGAGGTGAGGGTTAGTTCTGTCAAAGGTCATAATGACAATGACATTTCTCAAAGTAGGGAGCATTATTATAACAAAACTTCACTCAGTCCTCAAGCCAGAGGCCCATGAACAGAAGCCTGGCTGATGCCCCCTGGGATGCCTGCTGTGATCAAGACTGGTGTGACTTCTGTCTCACTGTGGCAGGGCCTGGTGGCATTCAGGGTTTGGCACGACCTGCCAGGCTAATGGGGAAATGCCCGGGGGTCAGACAGAATGCAAAATCATGCTTCGCCAGACACTTTCTCTCTTTACTCTGAGCTTGTTTGTATTTCAAAGAAATTTAATCCACATGTGTTTGATACCCATACAGTTAACTCATCAGAAAGTTGTCTGGGAGATACTATTTGTTTTTTAGTGAGCTCTACGACTCTCTTTTCACATGTTTTTCTTCTCTGCAGCCATCATAACAACCCAAGGTTTGAGCAAGGAGATATGATCTGCTCACGCCTTTGATCTGATAGAATCTCCATTTAACTTCACAGCTGGACTTGGGGAGCCAAGGTGACGTGGAAGAGATTAAGGGAAATGGACATTTAGCTGAAGCCATGAGGAAGGGAGTCTGTCTTCCTTCATCTCCCTTTTATAAACTTTCTGCTCTGTTACCCAGGAAGCGTGATGTCAAATGCAGGAGGTGGAGAAGGAGTAAGTGTGGTCAGCTGTGGTCAGGGGACCAAAGCTGAGGAGCCCATGATCCACTAAAGGATCAAAGTGCTAAGGTGGCACAAGAGGAGACCTGTTTCCTAAATGCTGACTTCTCTTCCTTCCTTATGATCCATCTTAATGTTGGGCCATGACATGGTTCAAGAATCAATGGGGCTTTAGGTTACTGGAATCAAAAATAGAAGACAGAGGATTCAGAGGCAGCTCGAAGCCTAAGCCCAAAACCAACTACATCTGCACTTAATAAGACAAAATATATTGAGGCAAAATCTCAAATATTCCAAACCTCCAGAATCAAGTTAAAGTCAAATTTAAATGGGGCAAAGTGTTACATCTTTAACCAGACGTGGCTAGGCATAACGTATTCCACATCTCCAGGGGCATACGACTTGCCCAATCCCTGATTATAAAATGGCATATAAGTTCGAAGTCTCTAGATCAGCCCACTCAGTTGTCTAGCAGTGAAGTTTCTATGAAGCAAAAAAGGATCAATCTACTTTCTGAAAACACATTCAGAAACTAAAAATCATCTGCTGCATCAGTTTGGAAACAGGAATACTTGAGTTCACATGCACGGATGGGGAAGCCCAAGTGTCCCACACCGGCTGTCAAACAGCAGCCTCCGACAAGCATCTCAGAACTCAGCTCTCCATTCCCAAAGAACCGTAAGGGACCTTGAGCCCAGCCATGGGTTGTCTCACAGTCATCCTAAGAATGCAACTGAGAATGTTGGTGCACAGTTAATTCTGACTGGGAACAAGATCAGAGTGTCACTTACCCACATCCTCAATAAGGAAGGAGTATGTCTCCGCATTCACCTTGATGTATTTAAGACTTTTCAGTGACTTCCCATAGGCAATGTTGTAATGCTCCACAGGTCTACTGGTAGCATCTTTGGGTGGGTCCCACGTGACTTTCAGGCCCATTTTAGTGGACAGCAGTTTCACATGCCTTGGCTTCAGTGGGTGGTCAACTATGTAAACAGCGCAACTATCAACTCATGGCAATAACAGATTGGGAAAACGAATTTTTTTAATCGTCTTTGATATTGTTAGGAAAACAGTAAATGACGTTTAATCAGTATGATCCGAAAGACTTTAAGGATAGTCATGTATTTGCACAGCATTACAGTGTGACAACAAAACAAATATACCAAACCCACAGGCCTTCGTGTATTTTGGATAACCGTAGGTGGTAAATTTAAACCAAAAGGGAAATAAATCAATATAAACTTTAGGCATTGTCTGGCTTGATTACACTGTCTTGCTAGTGACAGAATAACAAATCAGTAATTTGCCATACTCTCCAGTAGCATTTATATAGTAAATAAGTTATTAGTATGTTGTGTGGTACAGTTGGACAATCTTTAAACGTCTCGGAGAGAACAGCATAAAACTGTCCTGATTAAGAAAAATATCCATTGTATTCTAAGTGAGATAACAGCAGCATTCATTTCCACAAAGAAAACAAACCAAGATCATCAACAGCTTAAAGGGCGAGTAAAACTCTGGTTCTATCTGCATATGTCTAATTTAAATGTTTCCATATTGTGTTCCAGAAGAAAAACAAGTTAGTACCAAGTACAATCACTTTTTTATCTTGACTTATGAGGTTCCAAAGAAATTCACTTCATTTTCAAAATTACTAAAGTGAAACATAACATTTTGTCAAACAAAATCTCTCTACTCACTATGTAACTGATATTGTAATGCAACATAATATAAATGTGTGTGAAATATTCAAGCAACAGTCAAACAAATCTAGGGCAAACCTGGAACTGAAACTGACTATTGAGTAAAGCATGCTGCAAGAAAGAAAAAAGTAACCTAAAAACAAAACCAACAACCTTTAAACAGTAACTTTAAGAAAAACGCATTTGGAGTCTCAGGGAAGAAGAAAAGAAAAGGAGCATGTTTAGTGATGACACATATGTGAGTTAGTATGTGATTTTAATATTGGATGAAAATTCTGAACAGAATAAACATAGATAATTCTAACACACATCACTCCTCCCAAAATTGCCCATTGCCTCTGGAGTAAAATGATTAGCAAGGGAAAGAACTCCTTAGAGAAATTCAAGGGATGAAAGAAGAGTATGAATTTGAGGATTTTGAAGCGTTAGAGAAAGAATGTCTATTCTGGAGACAGAAGCATGATGTTAGGGTATGGACAAAAATCTACAAAGCATTCCCTCCCAACTCCAGAGGTGAGGTTCCTGTAAACCTGTGAGGGAGGAATCACAGGTAAGTAGGCTCATGCTCTTTGGGAAATTTTGAGTTGGGAAGACTATGAAGACACCAATCATTTTCTAGGCATTTAAAATTAGCAATAGTGGTTACTGTTCTTTAATTTTCATTTACCTTTCCTTATCTACAAGCAACTTCAGCAGGAATCATTCCCAGGAATCCAACATTTCACACTGACTAAAAGGTGTGTAGAAGCAAAACAAGATATCCGAAAACTACAAATGGAAGCTCATGGTTGAGTGTTTCTCCCAAGGAAGAATATAAATGAATGAATATACATATCGCACTTTTCTTTACAGCAAATCTCCCTCAAGAAAAGTGAGATCTTGAATAGACATTCTAAAATGTGAGAACTGTAAAACCTAAATACTGTCACATTTTCTACCAGGCACTAGTGATTCAATCAGTACACAGCTACCTAGGCCAGAACATGATTTACTTTTATTACTGACACATGAAAAGAGCAATTTATAAATATTTTCATTGTTCTTCTCTGCGATACCTTGCATTTGTCGTTGGACACAGCACAGAATAATTTCTGTGCTGAGTCACACAGCTACACCAGGGATGGAGCCAACTACAAACATGGCTTTGCCCAACTCCAAAGCCCAGCTCTGCCAGAAGCTCATGCTCCCTCGGAATTGGTCTCTTATTATCAATGATCGATGACCATATCCACTGAAACATACTATCCTAAAACAAATTGTAAGACCTCCAGAGCTGTTTACCACCCCACCACCCTCCACCCCACCTTCCCCCACCATCTTCCTCTCTTGGGAGCACTCTTCCTCCCTACCCACCACAATCACTTCACCTTGGGCTGCGCATCCTCATCGACCTCTCTCTTCTGGAAGGAATGGAATAAGTGAGTGATGTTCTCTCTCAGGAATTTGCATTCTTATGACAAAACTTTAAACCAGAGGAGTGACTTTCTAATGGTGACAATTTAAGCCTTAGAGAGTTACCTAATGAAGGTTCTTTTTAACATAAAGGCCTTTTGGGGACTCTGAAACAAAACCCTACAGGCAACCTTACCGTCAATCTCCTTATAAGATCAACTCTGAATTTAAGGTTCTCAAAATGCCTTAAGCCAAATATCGCGACCTCCTCCTCCCACCCACCGCACCACACACAGACTGGACCTGTTAAACAAAACGCTTGACCTGATGAGATATTTTCATTTCCTGGATTCCCATTGACTTTGATATTAAAATTGATGTCATTTTTGATGCTTCATGCCTAACTCGTCCATGCCTAACTCAGAGAGAACTGGACAAAAAGACAAACAGGAGACCCAGATAAAAAGCAATCCTGCCCATCATTCCAGCCCTGCCTCTCACCCGCAGTGCCTCAGCTCTGAGTGAAGTCATCAAACCAGCATCTAACTAAGGGGCAGTCATTCTGGCAAGCAGAAATCAATGTGCATGAGCTTACATTACTTGACTGAAAACTTATCCTTGGGGTTAGAAGTATGACAGTTTGTTCTATTCCCGATCATTGTTTTGAAGGTCTCATGAGTGCAATCCTTCAACGTGAAATAAAGCTATAAGGAATGTGAATGTGGCTTCGGGCTCTGTTGGTTGCATTCTGAGTTCTGTGTTATGGAATCAGCACTCTGATAGCATAAAGATGAAATATGACAAAGTGAGTCCCTTGTTTATTTTTAAGTATTCTTAGAAACTTGAACAGACCATCCTCTCTGCTGGACAAATGAATCATAGAATCTTTGTAATCATTTACAGTATTCTCATCTAATGAAGATGATATAGGATACATTCTTTAAAGCTATCTATCCATGCACTGGGTCTCTAAAGAAAAATGACAAACCCAAACATCAATTCAACAGGAATCAAAGAGTCCAATAGAAGGAACATTGGGAGGAAACTTCACAGTCCATGCATGACAGGTAGGGCCATGACAAGACGCTTTTTCATATTCACAGGATGCAAAATGAGGAAATAAGCTTAAGTTGTAGCCTAAGGGAATTGGGTTAAATGAAAAGAATTTCCTGTCTGTGTCCTTCCTCATTCAAGACTGTCTTTGAGTGGAGACAGATGGTAAGGTGCTCCAGACAGAAGAAGAAAGCCAGTAAGAGCCTGCTATGACTCCAAAGATTTCATAACACAGCAAAATCACTTCCACAGTTCATACCAGTAAACTTTACTCAGATTCAAGAATATTTTGCTGGGGACTGAGTGGCAAAATAATATTTTGGTGGCCGTTCAGATACCCAGCAATTGCCAGGCTAGACACTTCTGTGCCATAGCTCCCATGGGGAATATGACCTCTATTGGTTTGCCGGAGAATGAAAAATAAGGGCACAATCCCCACCTAGATTTCTTACTTTGGTCTAGCACCAACTCCAGAACTTATCCAAGAGGGCCCAAAGAGGCCAGTTTGGTTCAAGGGTCAAAGTATGGATCCATGACTGCTCTTAGATAGATGGATTCCAAGATTCCAATGGCTCTTCAATGTCTGTCCTTGAAGAGTCTTCAGTTTGCACAGACAGGCCTCCAGAGATTCCCCGGGGTTGCTGACATGCTGAGCCCAGAACTAAGCCTGAGTCCAGCGGTAGGTCTCTGGGCCAACCTGACCAATATCTGCAGGGTCTGTTCATCATAGTAGATGGGGCACCATACCTCATCTTCTCACTCAGGGCTGCCCACACACTTGGTGCTCACTTAAATGGTTTATGGTTGAAGGAAAGGAGGTAAGACCAACAAGATCAAATCCAGGAGTCTCCAAGGACCATGCCTACAAGTAATGAAGACCATGAAATGCTCACAAGGGCCATGAACCTCCAGCAAGTGACATCTATGGAGAATATATGCTCCATCTAAAGGCACAATTCAGTTTAGGTTCCGGTGACGAAAAGAAATTCAGACAAAAGGTGTCCAGGCTCCACATTGTCAGACATTCTGGGATTTTTTTCTAAGAAGCTAAAACCCTGATTTTTGTGTGAAAACTCCCAATTGTGTATTAATTGGTGATTAACTCCATTAAAAAAAAACACTATGTAGGGACACACACACACATACACACATGAGCTGTTGGACTCAGTCCACTGGTGGCCAGTCAGTGACCTCTACCTTGACCCCAGAAGAAATCCTTTAGTTGTTGACCCAGACAACTTCCTCGTGTCCAATTTCAATTCAGAGACTCTGTGAATCTGGGTCCGTGAGGAAAGTCTATGAATCAAGATGAAAGCTAAAGTCTGGAGAGGAACTAGACCAACCTAGCCCCTGAAGGCATCAGGTACAGATCTGTCCAAGGAATCACATCACACCCCCAGACCTCCCCTCCCTCCCTCTAGAGACCGGAAGGCTCTGAAAAAGCTGTCCTGGGCTCCAAGAAGTAGGGAGATGCATCCCAGGAAGCCTTCAGGGAGAGGAGTGTGGGATGCTACACAGGCTTCAACTACCAGCAAAACTGTTGACTTCTGCATGTCTATTTCTGGCCTAACCATTCCAGACCAATATTCCCTTACTGTCTATATGGTCCAATATGAGTTTCAAACTGAACACTTTCAGAATGAAATTCAATATCCAATTATTCAAAATCTTGGTTCAGACAACACCACCTGTCCAAGCACCTGAATTAGATGTTCAGCATCATCCTTCAGTGTCCAGGCATATCCATGGTGGACGAAAATAGGCATGCTTCCTCTCAAGGGAACTCTGTCAAGCACTATTTCTCAGAATAAAGAGAAGGAAGGTTCAGAATCAGTGAATAAAGTGAACCAATGGTAAAAATAATGCCATAATGACACAATTCATAAGAAATCATGCTGAGAAAACTGTGATTTGAAACAGTAACTGAATCTTTCTGGATTAAAAGTGTTGCTTTTGGTCTTGGTTTTGTTTCAATTTTTTAATGACATATAGTTACTTCATTAAGTTCTCAAGGTAGGTAAAAGGAAAAAGATGAATGGATGGTAGATTTTAGAGGTGGGGGCAGGGGTGGTTATAAGAGCATGACATGGCTGAGCGTGGTGGCTCACGTAGGTTATCCCAGCACTTTGGGAGGCTGAAGCAGGTGGATCACCTGAGCCCAGGAGTTTGAGACCAGTCTGAGCAAGATGGTGAAACCTCATTTCTATATATAAAAACAATACAAAAAAATTAGCTAGACATGGTGTCGTGCACCTGTAGTCCCAGCTACATGGGAAGCTGAGGTGGGAGCATTGCTTGAGCCTGGGAGGGCAGGATGCAGTGAGCTATGGTTTATCATTATACCACCACACCCTAGCCTGGGCGACAGAGTGAGACCCTGTCACAAAAAAAAAGCACGACTAATCCAGGGAGAAACAAAGAATAAAATCATCTTCTATCAGGCATAATTCCCTTGAATATGCTCCATTTTAACTTTGAAATGCACTGATTTTAGCCAAATGTTCTACAGCACCAAAAGTGTTGGCTCAGAGTCAGCATTCAATAAATATCAGGTGAATAAATGAATACTTTAAGTGTGATTTACAGTCAGTCTACCATTTAGAAACAAAATAGCAACTGATAAGCATGCTTACATTTTTTAATTCTGTGATTGCACTGAAACAGAGCTTACCACTCACATAATCGTTGTAGATAATGAAGTTAAAATACACAGCTGAGGTTTCAAAAAATCCACTAACAAAATGTTGAATAGGTAAAACCAAATATTTTCTGAGTTAATGAGTTATGGAACAGTTGCATGAAAAACAAATGCTATTTCTTCTTTGATTTTTCTACCAAGTATTCCCTGGAGAAAATTACTCAAGTAACTAAAAATCCATTTGATTTGATTTGAAAATCAAGTCTTAAAATAATAGATTTGAGTTATCTTTGGATCTCAAAACTGCTGGTCCCACTGTACTTAGACAATTCATTGATTCCTAGGACCCATCTCTTATAGTGATATGGTTTGGCTCTGTGTCCCCACCCAAATCTCATGTTGAATTGTGATCTTGAGTGTTGGAGGTAGGGGGTGATGAGATCATGGAGTGGTTTCTAATGGTTTAGCACTATCCCCCTAGTGCTGTCCCATGATAGCCTCACAAGATATGGTTATTTGAAAATATGTGGCACCTCCCCTTTCGCTCTCTTGCTCCACCATCGTAGACGTTCTTGCTTCCCCTTTGCTTTCCGCCAAGCTTGTAAGTTTCCTGAGGCCTCCTAGCCTTGCTTCCTGTACAGCCTGAAGAACCGTGAGTCAATTAAATCTCTTTTCTTCATAAATTACCCAGTCTCAGGTAGTTCTTTACAGCAGCGTGAGAACGAACTGATACAAATACCAAATGGAATACATTAGGCCAAGCAATAAAAGGGCCTATATATTTCTAGTGTGCTGATCAATAACAAATTACGTTTCAGTTTCATTTCCCCAGGCTAAATGTATGAAGCACCCGTTCCTGAACTTGAAGCATGGGGCACAAAAGTGCTCATGATGAACATTTGAGTTCAAAACAAAATTGAACAAACAGATAAAAGAGTCAGAAAGCAAAATATCAGGTTTATTGCTGACAAAGCTGAACTGGAGAATGTGGGCTCTAACGTGTGGCCACCATTGTGCTTCCTACCTCCTCGTCTCCCTGCTCCAGCTCTGGACCACTGGAAGACCCAGAAGGAGACTGCAGGGCAGACTACTCAGCACGCAGCTTCCCAGCTGTGGACAGAGAGCAACCGGCCTAGACCTCACCCCATGAATTCCCACAGGGACGTGGGAGTGGAGCCAAATGGAACTTTCCCGTAGGAAGGCAGACCTGAGAGGAGACACTCATGCCTGGGGCTTCTAATCCATTCATGCCACCAGGTAAAGAAAGAAGGCCGACCAGGCTGTACTCCTCCCAATCACCCTCGGCTGCAGCGTGGAGTGCGGGACAGGGGACAGGCCAGAAATGTCCTCTGTTGTGCTCTATGGCACCACAGTTCCTCTCCTTGGAAGCTCCCTGAACATCCCCAGCTGGTTGTCCCTGACCCCACTGGGTGCAACGGTCAACCTATGGTCAAGCTGTGGCTGCCCCTCAGGGCGAGGATGAGGACCACCTCGCGCCACCTTCAGGCGATGCCCTGGATTCATCAGTAACCTGCCATGTATCTTCCTGGGATTAAAGATGGGAATACCGCCCCTATCAGGACCCCAGAAGGCTTTGACATGGGTAAAACTCATTCTTTAGCCAACTCCAAAGTCAAGCTGACCTCCAGGCTGAAAATTTACTGCTGTCCTGACCTATTCCAATGCCAAATTTTGCCCAGTTTATGCTATCCAGAAGAGCCCAGCACAGTCCCAGGAATGAGATGACATAACAGCATGACAATCTGTTCATAACACAATACAAGCAATATAAAAACACCCAGATTTTCACAGAAATCCCTCCCATCACAAAATTCCCAGGGGAAATTTAAAGTCCAAAAGTAGTGCTGTCTTTGTCTTATAGCTCAAAACCGAAAGAAATTAAAGTCCAAATAGCTTTCCTCCTTTACTTCTTATACTATTCGGCCTCAGCCAGGGAAGAGTCTTTCCAACGCCCAGGAGGGGTGAGAGTTCCCTCAGCAACTGTGGCCTCTGCCATCATTCACTGAAATCGGTGCCGTTTCTTCAGGGTTCCCTGAAGTAAGAATAAGTGAATCCAAAGCGTCCTGCTTGCCTAAATTCTTAGAGTCCTCCACACAATCTCTATAAGGAAGCCAATCCACACTGTATTGTGGAAAGAATACACATCATTTCTGTCTATCCAGTAAAGCTCCCCTAATTCTTCTGGTAATGGACGTGTGACCCCAAACTGCCCAGGGAACTTCCCAGGAATTTTTCTAACTGGAGCTGGACTGGAGATGTGGCCAGTACTTTCTACTCACGAGGCTGTGGAGGAAGAATCCTGACATTGCTGGTGACCAGCTCTTGCTGTCACATTGAGAAGAGACCAGAGGTGAGGAGAGAGTTCCAATGATGCTTACAGCCCTAGTTCTAGGCATCCCAAAGGCCAGCTGGCCCCCTGCCTATCCCATGGTATAGCTCCAAGAACCAATGAATTCTGGAATTTAAATGAGCTCAAGTTGGGTTTTTGCCATCCATAGTCAGACCCCGATGGGCTAGAACATTATTAATCAAGATCTTCTATGAAAATAAAAATTGGCCAGGTGCAGCAGCTCACACCTATAATCCCAGCACTTGGGGAGGCTGAGGTGGGCAGATCATCTGAGATCAGGAGTTCAAGACCAGCCTGGCCAACATGGTGAAACCCTGTCTCTACTAAAAATACAAAAATTAGCCAGGTGGGCATGGTGGTGGGCACCTGTAATCCCAGCTATTCTGGAGGCTGAGGCAGGATAATCGCTTGAACCTGGGAGGCGGAGGTTGCAGTGAGCTGAGATTTTGCCACTGCACTCCAGCCTGGATGACAGAGTGAGACTCCATCTTAAAAAAAAAAAAAAAAAAAGTAAAAATTAACATTTTTGAAGCTACCCCCACAGCCAGTGTATTTGGACGCACTCAAAGAAATTGAGGCGGCCGGGCGCAGTGGCTCACGCCTGTAATCCCAGCACTTTGGGAGGCCGAGGCAGGTGGATCACGAGGTCAGGAGATCGAGACCATCCTGGCTAACACGGTGAAACCCCGTCTCTACTAAAAATTCAAAAAAAAAATTAGCCGGGCCTGGTGGCGGGCACCTGTAGTCCCAGCTACTCAAGAGGCTGAGGCAGGAGAATGGCATGAACCCGGGAGGCGGAGCTTGCAGTAAGCCAAGATTGCGCCACTGGACTCCAGCCTGGGCAACAGAGCAAGACTCTGTCTCAAAAAAAAAAAAAAAAAAAAAAAGAAAGAAATTGAGGCAGATACCACCTGGTACGACTGCCATTCCTAGTGGAGCATTCACAGCAGCCCACCCAGCCTGCAGCAAATGCCAAGGAGCCAGTGAGGACAGACTAAGTTACAAAGAAACTCCCAAAGGAATGTTAAGGGCTTTGGAAATACACTGGTCCAATAAAACCCCAAAAATGCTGAAGTTATTTCTTAAGTATACCAAAGATTGCTCTTTAATGCAACAAACCCTTCATGCTTACGTAAGTCTCCCTACTTCATCTTTGTTTGAAGTTCAAGTTTTACTTTCCATTGGAAACCGCCAAATACTTCCCAGACTCTGAAATGAAGAAAACACAGATCTCAGTGTAACCACATCTTGGACCAAAAAGTCAACAGATAATCAGCCAGAAAAGGTTAGGATGTACTACAATAGCAGTATAGCTTGGAGGTAGGAATCAATGTGATATACGACATAGAGACTAGGATTCAGAGGAAAGGTGGAAAAATGAAGCTATCATTCATACGATACAGGACAGCACAGAAATATTCAGAAATTCAGAAACATCAGAGGGTTGACAACACATGGGCAAAATACTAGAACGACTCAAATGACTGACCAAATTTTAAATATTTTTTCAAATGGATGTTGGAATTATATTTGGCAAATATTTATGACCCAGACCCCACCCAGAAAAAAGAAAACCCTGGAAGTCCAGGTTGTTTTGTGGTTCTGTGATGTAAAACTAATACTAGTAAAATTTGCAGATGGTGGATTGAATTTTCCCCGAGGAGGCTGCTGTTGGGTAGACACAGTCTGGGTATGAAAAGAACCCCCTGGGTCCCCTTCTGACATTTCTCAATATGCATAGGGTTCAATAGAAGTGTTTTCCACAGTTGGCATTGGGTTCTTTAAGGATAACTGTACAAAAAATAAAATCAAACCCTAGCTCTTTGGAGTCTGAACTTATTATAAAACACACTAGGGAATGGAAAGAGCTTTGCAAACAAAACTCTGACACCACCCAGCGCTTTGTCAGGTCAGAGGAACATCAAGGCAAGCAGGTGTCCCAGGTGCCACGAGAGATGGAGGACAGCAATGGAAGCAGATCGTGTCCTACAGACTATCCCTGGTTCACATTCCTCACTGCCCAATCCATTTCCCCATGAAACTCTAACTTACTGGATTCTACTCCAGGCCCCAAAGCGCCCTGTTATGTTCACCTGGGGAGGGTGGACACTGGTGGAGTGAGCAGCTCTGCCCTAGGCTGCAGGTCCCCATTACTGGCTGCAGCCAATACTCACTCCTGAGCAGAGGAGCCAGCGGCACTCCTGGGCTCACCTCTCCAGCCACCGCAGCCCCACCTAAATTCCCCGTGGTTGTCACCAGCTATTCTTCCAGCATTTTGATAACAACGCATTATTTTATTCAGACAAAAAGGCCAAACTTTCATGCATGCATGCCAATGTACTTATAAGGGTACACTGGATAGTCACTGAATACAGTTGTGAATCACATTTTTTCTTCATCATCTCAAAGAAGCCAAATGGTGAAGCCATCCAAATCTCCAAAGGGGAAACATTGGCCAATCCTTAAATGGCATTTGTCAGATCAATTTCTATCCCCTCCAGACTGTCAGCGCCACCACCACCTCCACGCGTTTCTGTGTGAGCACTTTCCACCTCTGGTGAGTTTCAAGTGGCTGCATGTCAGAGTGATCCTCACACCTGGGCTTCAGTAGACTGCATCCTGTGCCAGAGACCCCTGTGTCTCTGGGCTCTGCCTGGGAGCTGCATGTCAGCTTGCCATGCAGGCAACTGCCAGGCATGCTGCCTTACATGAAAAGGTCCCATGGAAAGAGCTTCCAAGGTACCTGGGCAGCTCACTTTTGCCTCTAGGGACCTCAGGAATTGGCTCCCAACCTCCAGCCAAGTTCACCTGCACCATTGCACGATGAGGGCAAACTAAGCCTTTCATTCAGAAGCACTCTCATTATCTCAAGGGTTAATGGCTCCTTATGGACAAAGTTTGCCTAGAATGTGTTAGATTCTAGGTTGTTTGTTTATTTGCATTTCAGGGGAAATTGGAGCAAAGAGAAAGAATATTCATTAATATAGTTTATCTTTCATTATTCCCTTTCATTATCTTCCTACTTTACTCCCTCCTTCCCCACCACCCGCCAACTTGGAAAAGATCTACAAAGCAGAAAAATACAAAAATGGAACAGTAAAATGAAACATGAAGAAATTCTGTTTCAAAATAAACTGCAAGCAGCAAAACTAAAATCAAACTCTCAAGCCAATAGGAACTGACTGTAATTTGCTCAGAGAATAGTCTTAAAATAAATCTCCCTTATCCCTCAAGATGTTTCTGAGACATTTTAAGCTGGATTTTTATTAGTCCCATTCAAGTCCAGTTTCCCAACTAATATATAACCGTCTGACAGATTGCATTAAATTCAGAAACCACCACCATAGACACTATGGATTGGCTACCCAAAAGCTATTCCCAGCTTCTTTCTCCCTTGCCTTCTACTACAGAGGCCAGAATACTAAACATTCAGTCATGACTTTTCAGCTTCCCTTGCAGCTAGGATGGCCATATGATCAACTCTAGCCAATGACAGACATAGGGAGGTTCGTCCTGCCATTTCTCAGAAAGCATTTTAAAGGGGTTAGGTTTGGCTGTTATGGGCTGGTGGCCTTTTGTACCTTCCTCCTTTTTTACCCCTTGGGATGTCAACATGATACCTGGTGATGCAGCTGCCAACTTAAAACATGGAGTGACAATCTTGAGAATGATGACAGCAAAGTGGAAAATGGAACAAGGCTATGTGTCCATAACCTTGTTAAACCATGGGACAGTCCCGGTCTCTCTGCTCCCAAGTTTACTGGTGAATGAGATAAACAATTCTCTTACTTGTTTAGCCACTGTTAATCAGATATCATGTTGTCTGCAGCCCAACCCACTGCTACCTAACATCACTTCTGGATTTGTAAAATCAAATCATCTTCCTGATTTTTAAATGAGAGCTGCTTTGGTTTAATTTTCATTACTTTCTGTTTGTTATTTTTAAGGGATCCCCTCTGGGAATTTAATTTTGACAATTTCAATGCTTATTTGTCAGTAGGCCATTGACTTGAGTAATTACATCTGCCCAGAGAGTGATGCAGCCATAAATCAGACTGAACTCCACCATCAGATCTGGCTGAATTCAATCATTAGGATTTGAGGTTTTAAAGTTCTTGGCCATTTTGTTTAGGATCCAGTGTAAGCAAAAGCTACCGTTTCAGAGCAAAAACAAGATTCCCCCCCCCCCACCCTCCATATAAACCACCAGCTTTCCAGAATGGTTTAGGGAAATGGAACTGGAGGAATTCCATAAGTATATTTATTTATAACAATCATAAGAAATAACAGGCCCTAAAGAGCAAATGCCTATAGTTGGGAAGGGCTCATGCCTTCCATTGGCAGGCAACAGAGACCCAACTAGAAGCCAGTACTTTGCAGGTTTTTGTGGAATTTTTTCGCACATTCTTCAGATTCAATTTGTAACCAAGAAATAGTTTCTTAAAGAATGACCATTGTTTGCTAGTCCAGCTAGTCTCAGCCTACTATAAACTGCTTGGCATGCCAGACCAAAAACCACTCCCTGAAAATTTATTCCTTTTCCCAAAATGTGAAAGTCATTGTCTAACTATGTTAAACACTTGGGCATTACTGTACCCAAAATCACCACTCATATTACTCAGAAAGCTCCCTGAAAAACACCCTTAGAAGAGAGGCCAAGCAAAGGTTCTGGAGAGGTAGGTTTGAAACACAGTGAATGAGACAGACATGACCAAGAGCCAGCTACCACATAGGCCCAGTGACAACCCCACTTGCTAATGAGCCATTTTTAAAACATTTCAGATAATAAAACTCATTTAATGATTATGAATGGGCATAGGTAAATTATCAATAAAAAGGGGAAAATACACTACACACCTAATAAACTAAGAGTTTAAGTTTTGGATCCGTTTGTAATATAGAAAAAAATATTTAAGGAAGTAAAAAAGAAAGGAAAGGAACATTTGCTGACCACCTACTTAGTGCCAGCCATTTCATTCATTTATGGAACAGAGATTTACTGAGTGCCTACTATGTGTCAGATTCTAAGCAAGGAACTGGCAATATAGAAGTGATTTAAAATGAGCTGTGTTATCATAACTATTTTCTCTTTGATCCCCATTTCAAAGCCTGTGCACTGCACTTTGGTGTTCGCATTTTTATAAATAAGGAAACTGAGTCACAGAGAGTTAAGTGATTTGCCCAAGGGCACACATCTAGTAAGTGACAGTCAAGCTCAGACCCATCTGAAACTATGGACCATGCTCTTTCTACTATACTTTGTTCCCTCTCAGCTGTAATTATAATTAAAAGCAATAAGTATAAACCCAGAGATAAATCAGAACCAAAGATATAAAACTGAAAGCCAGTGGTGGCAGCTGAATTCATAAGGACACATGAGCTCGTGCCCTGAATGGATCTTGTGAACGCAAGATTTCATGCTGCCAAATCTTCATCTCTTGCTCCTCAGCTTACTCTATGTCCGACAACAGTGAGCGCCTCCTCCTAGAAGCAAGTCTTCTCAGGTCCTCCCTGACCACTAGACTAGCTTCTGGGATGCCACACTCCCTGGTTTCTCTTCCACATCATTGGTCACCCCGTCTTGGTCCCCTTTGCCAGCTCCTCCTCCTCTGCCAGAACTCTAAATGGTAGAGCACTGCAGAGCCCAGCTCTGGCTTTCCCTCTTCTCTACTGCACTCCTTCCTTCTCTACCCATGTAGCACACCTGGTGCTATGACTGCAAAGACCATCCATATGTGGAAGGCTCCTGAATTCCCAACTCCAGCCTGGCTTCCCCTCTGAGCTCCAGTGTGTCCAACTGTCTACTTGACATCTCCACCCAAAGAACGCAGAGGTCTGAGGGATGACAGTTTAAATCTGAAATTTTAGTGGTAGGAGAACCAGAAAAAAGTTGCATCATGGAAGCAGGAGAGATTTTCAGGAAGAAGGGAATGTCCCCCAATGTCAAGTCAAGTCAAGGCTGAAAAGAACCCATTTTTCTCCTCTTGAAAGAGAGTGTCCACCACCATTCAAGGCCCTCAAAGAAAGCAAATATGCCACTCAAGTTTCTCTCTACAAATATCAAACTTAGTCCATTTTTCTATGAATGTAGCTAATCCTACCTACCTCATAGGATTGATGCAAGAATAAAATATGAAAGAAAATCATAAAACACTCCACACATGTGAGATAACATCAACATGAGGAATAAATGCCACAGAACACCTGATATCCCCAATCACAACCTGGTACAAAATGACCCAGCCTGATTCCCAGTATCTCAGCTCTTGGCCAATTCTCCCTCCGCACACAGCAGAGCTGGCATTTGGTCCTCATTTCCTTCCATCTTGGAAAACATACTTTTAATTGGAATTTTTAAATCTTGACAGTTGAAAGGAAACTTAGATAATCTGATTCAGCTTCTCCTCTTCCATCTGCCTATTGATTGTAAATCCAAAATAGTCTTCAGTGATTTCCATGACTGGACAGACCCAGGCAAATTCCAACACATTTCCCTACCTTCAAAGGTAAACATCTTTGAATATGCTATTCAATTGGGTGACATAGAGTTACTAAGAAAGCCACTCCCCTGGGAATACAAGTGAATTAATTTGGAGATATGTAAGAAAGGCAATGGGCTTCAATCTACTGAAGGAAGCACTACATTGGCACATGAAAGAGTGAGGGTATCAGGCATTTACTATCAGCTGAGTGCCACTAACAAGAAACATTATCAGGGCCCAGGGGAAAGGAAGTCCTCCCAAAGCTAGGATAATCAGAGAACAGAGTATGGCATTAATGGAATTCAAAGAGCGCTTTTACTAGAGATTTTCCCCATGTGTGGAAGCCCTGGGTCACTCACTGCTTTCCAGGGCTTGAATTCCAAGAGGACACATAGTCTGTCCCTCTCTGTGGCTGTGACCTAGCCTATCTTTGACTCCTCAAAATGCTGAGAATTGTTTCCTGTAATGAAACTACATTACAATTTCAGAGTGCCAGTGGACCCCACGGAACTCATCCCAAGGACCCCAAGTCAGATTCCGCATGCTTGTTAAGAGGGACACACAATCTGCTCAGATGATATCTAGTGTTTGTACCCTGAACCTCAGCCTCCCTAGGTGCTAGCATTGAAAGTGCAGTCATGATGCAGCTGTGAAAATAAGATCACCCCAAGGCCTCACATCCTTTGGGTGTGGTTTGTTTGAATATCAGCAGGTACATATGTGGATTCTGAGAATTATTAGCCAAAACAAGATGCTTCAATTCTCCCAGGCTATCAGAGAGCAGTAGAAGGAAATTGATGGGTGGAGTGGAAAGTGGTATTAAAAAACAGACTGGAGCCAGGGCACATGTTACAGGAAAAGAGAACGTGATGGTTTTCCATATCATCAAGAAGGTCAAAGGCTGTCAGATCCACGGCCCATGGACTGTCTGTGGTAGAACAAGACTGCCTTCATCTCATGACCTGGAAGTCTCAATTAGAAAATACAATCTAGACAGAAAAAAAGAGAAAGGCACATTCCAAATTTTACAGAATAGGAAAAAAAGTACTGATTTTTTGAGTTTCAGATTGAGTCAACACCAAAGTGTGCCCGCCAGGCAAGGTCCTCAGACATAGTTGGTGGTTTCTCTTCCTGATCTTACAGTTCTGTATGTTTCAATGTAAAAACACTACATCTGGCAAGCGGAAGTTTATTAGAAAGTCCAAGATGATCCTATATTGCTACATTTATCATATTTGGTTGTCATTTATGGCCACAGCAATCCCAACTTCTTTATTACTAAATCTTTGTAACCCCAGAGCCTAGCACAGTGCCCTGCCCGCAGAAGATGTGAGTTAATTACTTATTATTTAATCTATCAGTGAAGGACCTAGCCAGGCTTGATCAAATAATTAAGACCACTTGAATGTCCATAGGTCTTTGGAACACCAGGTTGACAGTTCAGCACACAATGCATCTCAGGGGCTTATCCCTTCCTCATCTGAGCTGTGGCCCAGTGCTAGAAGCTGATGAACTCTTTTGCCTACTGAAAAGGAATCATCACTGATCATTAGAGAAATGCAAGTCAAAACCACAATGAGATACCATCTCATGCCAGTCAGAATGGCGATTATTAAGAAGTCAAGAAACAACAGATGCTGTCGAGGTTATGGAGAAATAGGAACGTTTTTACATTGTTGATGGGAATGTAAATTAGTTCAACCATTGTGGAAGATAGTGTGGTGATTTCTCAAAGATTTAAAACTGGAAATACCATTTGACCCAGCAACCTAATTACTGGGTCTATATCCAAAAGAATATAAATAATTCTATTATAAAGATACATGCACACGTATGTTCATTGCAGCACTATTCACAACAGCAGACATGAAATCAACCCAGTCTATCACATCAGTGATAGACTGGATTTTAAAATGCGGGACATATACACCATGGAGTACTATGCAGCCATAAGAAGGAATGAGATCATGTCCTTTACAGGGACTTGGATAATGCTGGAAGCCATTATCCTCAGCAAACTAATACAGGAACAGAAAACCAAACACTGCATGTTCTCACTTATAAGTAGGAGCTGAACAATAAGAACACATGGACACAGGGAGGGGAACAGCACACACTGGGGCCTGTCAGGGGAGGACAGGGGGTTGGGGCAGAGCATCAGGAAAAATAACTAATGCATGCCAGGCTTAATACCTAGGTGATGGGTTGACAGGTGCTGCAAACCACCATGGCACACATTTACCTATGTAACAAACCTGCACATCCTGCACATGTACCCTGGAACTTAAACTTAAAATTAAATTAAAAATTAAAAAAAGAAAAGGAATCATGTTGGTAAGCACACCACACGTTATGAGTTAAATTGTATCCCTTCCAAAAATATATTGAAATTCTAACCCCTGGTATTTGTGAATGTGACCTTATTGGGAAATTTTGGAAATACAGTCTTACAGAGTTAAGATGGCCAAAACTAATCCCATATGACCGGTGTCTTTACAAGAGAAGACGCAGGGAGAATGCCATATGACGTGGAGGCAGAGGTTGGACTGATGTGTCTAAAAGCCAAGGAAACCACAAGAAGCTAGGAAGAAGCAAGGATAGGCTCTCTGCCAGGGCCTTCCAAGAGAGCATGACTGGCCCTACAGATTCCAGACTTCCAGCTCCGGAGCTGCAAGATAATACATTTCTGTTGTTTAAAGCCACTCAGTTTGTGGTATTTTATTACAGCAGCCCTAGGACACTCACATACTGTGTAAATACAATTCTTCTCTCCAACTGAAAATGGACTTCCAACACAAAGCAACTCTCTCACTAACGCATATGCTGACACCACACAGTTAGGCTGGGAGGGAAGCAGGGCACTGTCCCACACTCGGCACCACCCCCTTATTCTGCTGGAGGCCGGTCAACATACATAAATATATTTAGGTATATCATATGTAACTAATACCAAAGAAAGCACATCCAGTCATTTAGTAAGCAGTCACTGAGCCTCTGCTATTTAAGGGCAGCATTCTAGACACGGAGGCTATAGCAGGGAATAAAACCAACACAATGTCCTGCCCTCGTGGAGCTTACATTCCAGCAAAGGAAGATAGCCAAATATCAAGTAAGCCAGTAAAATATATGAAATGCCGGGTGTTGATGAGGGCGTGGAGCAAAATAAGGCAGTGATAAGATGTGCTGGGGGTAAGGATAGGATTACCCTGTTAAAGGCAGGGAGAAGTCCAGAAGGCCTCTTGAGAAGATGTTGCACAAAGAACCTGAAGAGGATGAGGCATCAACCCATAGATTGTTTTTGTTTTTGTTTTTGTTTGAGACAGAGTCTTGCTCTGTCACCCAGGCTGGAGTGCAGTGGCCCAATCTTGGCTCACTGCAGCCTCCGCCTCCTGGGTTCAAGCGATTCTCTTGCCTCAGCCTCTTGAGTAGCTGGGACTACAGGCGTCTGCCACCATGCCTGGCTAATTTTTGTTTAGTAGAGACAGGGTTTCACCATTTTGGCCAGGCTGGTCTCGATCTCCTGACCTCAGGCAGGTGATCTGCCCGCCTTGGCTTCCCAAAGTGCTGGGATTATAGACATGAGCCACTGCACCCAGCTATCAACCCACTGATGTTCATGGAAGGTTGCTCAGGCAAAAGGAACGGCCAGCGCAAAAGCCCTAAGGCTGGAAGAGGCCTCGTACATTGCAGAACCAGCCAGGAGGCCGGAGGCCAAAGCAGATGGCAGACGGTGAGGGAGGGCGTGGTGTGGAAAGGATCATGCACAGTCTGGAAAACTTGTTGGGACTCTGGTTTGTATCTGAGGGAGTCAGGGAGCTATTGGAAGGTTCTGTGACATTGTGCATCACGAGAATTGCTGCAGCTGCTGTCCTGAGACTGGAATGTTGCGGGAGAGGACAGGAGCAGTGAGACTATGGAGAGGTCACTGCAAAAATCCAGGTAATACGGCTTGGACCAGGGTGGTAGCCGCACTTCCCTGAGATGCCAAATTGCATGCCATGATTTCTCCATTTACAAAAAAAAAAAAAGAAAAACACTTGCAAGCTAACTGCAGTGATCACAAGCAGAATGGGCAAAACACTTTTAAAAATAGTCTTTGGACAATCTCAAAAGGTGACATACTGTAGAACGGCATTTATATGACATTCTTAAAATGACAAAATTATAAAATGGGGGAACAGATTTGTGTCTGGGGTGGATGGGAGGAAGGAAGGTAAATATGGCTACATTAGGTAGCACAGGGGCCTTCTCAGAGAACTCTTCTGCATCTTCACTGTCCTGGCTGGGATGCGGCACTACAGCTATGCAAATGCCGCCTTTAGGGGAAACTAGGTGGAGGGTACATGGTACGTCCACCTTACTGCTGTCAACCTAAACAACAGAGAGGGAGACTCCAAGAGAAAATGATGTTGATTTAGGAGTATGTATTGCAATGGGAATTTGTATGCCACGGTGAACTATACGCATACTCAGGGAGTGAAAGGAAGACAAAGGCTTTTAAAGCGAAAATAAGGAAGATAGCAATTGTCTTGAGTTCATTATCCTTGGCTACAAGGATCAATGAAGAGGATAGTGCCAGTCTGAGGATGGACAGGAAGTTGCTGGGCAGACGTCAGGTTGTCATGGCCTTTGGCAGGCTTGTAATTTTTGTAGTCTTTGCTGAGAGCTCTTGTTATCAGGCATTCGTGCATAGAATCCTCCCCTGCTGGCCTTTCATGGCTCTGTTTGTCAGGGGTTTTAGCATAAGTGACTCCATTTTGATTCTGACAACATTCATCCTTCTTATAATTGAACAGGAATCTATGACTATCTCAAAATTAAAACTTTTTTAAAACATTTTTTGAAAAATAGCATTTAAGCCTAGGGTGAAGTCCAAACCACCGACCTTTATGTCTGCGGGGGAATGGGCACACCAGAATTGGCCATAAGAAATGATCGTTGAAAGCACCCCACGACACTCCACTAAAGTAAACACAGCCACACCAGCTACTCTGTGAAGGGCACTCCTGAGCTTTCTGTCCTCTAAGTGTGACTGATGCGTCATCACGAGCACACATCCATCAGAGGAGGCCGAGCCTTCTCTGCAGGGGGATTTTATTGTATATGTGATTCTGTGCCACCATGGCAGTTTTCCCCACCATCCCCCAGAGCACCCATAAATTTCACAGAGCTTTTGTCAAAAGCAGCTTCTCCTGATTCTTCAGAAGGGGCTCACAGTGAGCCCACCTGCCCCAGGTCCTGCCCTCCCCTGCCTGGCTAGGGAGGCTTCTCCTGAGCTCCTAGGACACCACACCTGACCACACCTGCCACACCCCATCCAGCCCCGTGAGTTCCGCCATGGGTGACTGTGGATGAGACTTCATCTCCAGACAAATGTGGGATCATGAAAAATTAGGAGACATCACCGCACAGCTTTCTCAGGTACTTTATTAAAATGCTAGCTAACTCCAGCCACAGCACTAGGGCTTAAGGTACCCGCTATCCACACTTCTTCAAGAGTGGCACATGCTCATCTCCACTCTGTTTGCAGACTTAGTGAAAGTCTCAGTAAACTGTGTCCATTTATTTCCTCTTTAAGCCAAGTTACTTACCACTCCCCGCCCATGAACTCCTAAAATTGCACAGGGTCTTTCCTTGGGAACCACACTGAATTTGGCACAGACCCACCCCTGGCCCCAAAGCCAACATACTCAACTGTTCAAGACCCGCACTATAAATCAATCCTACCAGACTGCCCACATGTAAATACATGAGACTTATGCTACCCTGGAGCCCTTTCCAAAATAAGACTGTTCTGGAACATACGAGCCATTTCAGAAAACATGAAACAAAGATGATTCTTCAAATGAGATATGACTGGAGGCGATACAATATAGGCATTTGGTCTATATTGGCATGAAGAAGGCCCCAAACAAATAAGCAAATATAGAAGAAGCCCCAAACAATGAACAAAAGCCTCAATGGCCCTTTCTGGCCAGAGCCTCATGCAGTACTGGGATTGGCTGCTACCTGACCTCCCACTGACCCAGCGACATGCCACCTTATGGCACTCCCTCGGTGGCCACCAACACTATGGATCAAGGTCAGACCCCAGGACTTTCCTGAGCTGGGTGCCTCCTACACCTCCAACCCCGAATGCCACCATTGACCCAGAGCAGCACTTAGCACGAACCACCTCGAATATTCCTGGTTCCTTGCACATGACTTCACGTGTGCAGCAGGGTCTGTTCCTCGACCAGAGATGTCCTTCCTCAGCATCTTTCTCCAACTAATGCCTATGTCCTTCTCAAAAGGGCTCAAATATAGCTGGCCTTGACCTCCCAGTCAATTCACCCTCAAAACACCTGTGCTACCTCTGTCCTAGCACGTATCACCTGTCTGTATTATCCTCATCCAGCCCTCCTTGCCTGTGTGTCCTCTGACAGCAGGCACTATGTTCATCTGACTTTGTGTCTTTGTCTGACTCCCAGTAACCCTTGCTGAATGGATGAATGAATGAATGAATGGACCTCCTTCAAATGGAGACTCACACAAAGTTAGAGCTGGGGGGCCCTTCACAATATCTAGGTCAATCCCCTTGCTTTGCTGATGAGAAAACTGAGGCCTGAAGAGTTATGACCCACCCAAGGTCACACAGCCAAATTGGTGGCTCAATTAGGACCTAATAAACCAGATGAAGGGACGTGACACCATAAAACAGTCCCTAAATAGCAGAGCCCAGCATTTAAATGGCACATTTCTCCTGAGAAGTTCAAGACACTTTAACGCTGTGAGCATCAGCCTCACCACCTCTGTGAGATGTAGGGACTTGTCAACCATATAGATTAGCCACTAATGTTTCTCAGCATTTTTCCTTGACTTAAATGGTCCAGTAAACAAAACTGAGTGTCTTAGCACAAGGTGGTAGCACTTCCGGGAGCCTTCTGGTTAAATACAGTCTCAAAGGTTCAAAGTTGTGATTTCCACGGTAAAGATCAAGCACTCACAGAGAGTAGCAAAGAGTTTGGGTAACAGGTTAGACACCGAGCACCGGCTCTAAGATGCCAACAGGCGAGCTTAACAGGACCACCAAGGAAAGGGGGCTTCCCCACAGTGAGGACCCTGCTCACATCCACAGGCCAAATCCATCTTGTAACAGAGGCTACATTCACTGCCACTTTGTCTTAAGTTTAGCCTTGTTGGAGTTCAACACATTTCAGTACCTCACATAATCATTTTTCAACAGCCGACAGCAATGTTACAGAAGTAAACTCAGGAAGGCATTCTGAGCAGATCAAAGATGTGAGTGTTGGCACTCACATCCAGCCTAGAGAAGAAAACAAGGAGATACAGTAAAAGCTCAAACCAACCAGAACAGGGGTGTCTGCAGGGAGAGTGTGGGATCTGGACCGCAAAGACTGAGTATTAGATTACAGACTTAGGGAAAACCAGTTAACCTCTCTGACCTCAGCTGCCCCAGTAGCAAGATGAGGATGTTACTGACTTCGTAAGGTCACTGTGAAAATTAAATTAAATAACAGAGAGAAATGGTGAACTCCGTAACACTTTAAACTGCCAGTTATTATTAAAAGGAAGTAAAAATGTACACCTAGGAATTCCTCATAAAACTGAAAATAGAATTATGTAGATTGTACTTTATAGATTATAAGGATGCCATAATTAAATCATTTCGTCCACATGTAGGAGACTGCGGTAAAAAAAATGTGAGCAGCATCTACTTTGTAATTAACATGAACACCTCTCAAGTTATTTTGCTACAAGTGTAGCATTATTATAATAATTAGAATACATAGTATATAATTATAATAATTTGACATTATAATTGTAATATTATCCTCTCTGGATACAAAAATTAACATTGGTGGTGGAAGGGAGAGGCTGAGACGGGACCCATCAGGGCCAAGGAGGCAGTTCCTGAGGCTGGTACCCCTGAGACATCCCTTGCTCTCACCCCATCTTCCAGCTGCTGCATCTTTGGTGGAGGCCTGCAGAGGCACCAGCGGCACCCCAACAGCCAGCGGGCTTCTGACCCCAGCTGCAGGTCTAGGCAATTTCCTTTCTCATCAGTGCTTATTTGAATTTGCTAACACGCAGCCATTTCGACTCTTAATTAGTGATCTGTCCTTTCCCATTTAATATATGAAGAAAGCGCCAATGAGTAGAAAAATTGCCAAAAGGCAAGCACTAAGGGAGAAACAAGGCAGATAACTGGATGTTTGTCCTAATTTTCTTATCTCTATAAAGCCGCAGCGACAGCTAAGTCCAACTAGGGCTGCACGGAAGGGCCTGCGGGTGGTGGCTTCGGCTCCAGAAGTCCAGGAGCGCCCTCTAAGGGCCTCAGAGCGCAAGCGCTGCCCAGGCCGGGCCGAGGGAGGAAGACGCAGGTTTTTCATAAGCAAGGATAACTTTTAGGAGGGAGGAAAACGGGGTGCTCACGAATGTGAATAACCAATTCACATACCTCCCTGATTCCAAATGTTCTAACATACATCTACAAAAGTTGGTAAAAGAGATGGATGAAACAGTATCCACCACTGTCCCCCAGCGACCCAGCTCTCCATCCCAAAGGCACCAAAGTTTGTAGTTTCATGGGTATTCTAACAGAAACGTTCTGTGCAGTTACAAGTAAATACATACACATACATAGTCCTTTCTCTCCTTTACTTTTATACCTTTAAATACCTCTATTTTTTAACTGAAATAATAGCTTCTGATAACAGTTTAATTATAACTCAAGAAATCCCTAAGTTCCATGGGGGGCCAATGAAAAGAGGTCTGCTCCTTAATCAGCCAAGGGTGATGGAGCCTCTCCCGAAATGTTTGCTTCCAGGCTCCCTGCCCCCCTCATCCCTTGAGGTAGGAAGAATAATGATCCCCCAAAGATGTCCTTGTCCTAATCCCGAGAACCAAGGATGTGGGCACCTCTAGAAGGTAAAAAGAGCATGGAAATAGATTCTCCCTTAAAGTTTCAATGCAGGCCTTGATTTTTGCCCAGTACCGCACATTTCAGACTTCTGATCTCTATAACTATAATAAAGATCATAAATTTGTATTGTTTCAAGTCATTAAGTGTGTGGCAATTTGTTATAGCAATAGGAAATGAATACACTCTCCTTCCCCTCCTGTTTTCAGGGAACGGGCCTTTAGAACTTAAGTATGATGTGAATGGTCTTGGTAGAGTATATTCATCATGCTCTGGAACTGTCTGGTGATAACTTTCCAGGGGTGCAAATTGTCACTCTGCAATCCTATTACAACCTCTGATTCCACAGGAATAAATTTCATGATCAGTTGATGAACAAAACAGCTCTTCCATCTGCCATTGGCGGGTGCCAGTGCACAAAAAAGGAGAGAGGGTCTCACCACGTTCTCTCAAAGAGGACTGAAGTAACAGGGAAACCCCATAAAGCCACATGCAGGTTGAGCCACAGGCGAGCTTCTAAAGGCTTCCAGAGATGGAAGGAGCCTCCTTCAATTGACCTATTCTGAAGCGCGGAGACTAGCCCAAGGCCCCCAGAGGTGCAGGACAGCACTGCCACTCACACCCAGGCATCCTGATTTTTAACCTACTTCCCTCCGTATATACCAGTGTGTCTCAAACATTTTGGTGTCTGAATTATCTTCTATTCTTAAATTTACGAGGATGCCAAGGAGGTTATGTTTCTGTGAGTTTTATCTATCCTTATTGACTTTACTGGGAATTAAAACGAAAATATGTACTTATTTATTTTAAAAAACAATAATAAACCATTACATGTTGACATACAAATATATTTATATGAAAAGTAACTGTTTCCCAAAACAAAGAGAAATGAGTGAGAAGAGCAGCTTTGTTTCTACATTTTGGCAAATCTTTTTAATAGAATATCTCCGATCTGCTTATGCATTCAATCTATTGCAATATGTCGTTTTGCTTGGAGAAAACCCAGCCTCACACAGATGTGTAGCTGGACAACTATTTCAATAGCCTTTTTGGATAATTTTGAAAAATCTTTGATATTACACCAAAATTCATCAAGTAGCCAATTCTTAGAATCTGAAATCATATGAAGAATTTTTCATATTTTGTTACATTAAAAATCCATTGGGCTATCATGCACTTTGAACAGACCTTTTACCCATGCAAGATTGTTGTAAGGCTATACACTGGTCATTTGGATCTATTGGTTTATTTGGTTATGCAGATCATCCAAATGTTGACACATTTTATGAGATGACATTTACAAATCACATTCATTTATATCACCATTGATCTCACTAGAAAAAAATTTAAATATTGGGAAACTTTCAAGCTTACAGTGGTGGAAACAACTTGGCAAAATTCTGATTTTCACTTGAAAGCTGAAATGTTATCATTGGCAAGCAATAATAGCAGTTATTTTACTAGAAGTAGCAAGTTCCCTTTGTTCATTTTTGAGAAAACATCGGCCAAATACCCAAGTCAGAATAGCTCTAGTTTGTCTGTTGTCATTCTTTGTGGTAAATACCACATTCCATTTTAAAAAACCAGCTAGCTTAATGCATAACACAAACAATCACACCAGTGCTTCCCCCTGGGGTTGCCACTGAACTTGGTCATCAGCAGTAGTAACTTATGTGTCCTTCCCATTTATTTACACTATTAAAAAGACATACACTCAAAGATACAAAGATTTGGTAAAATTAATAATTTTACTGTGGCATCAAGAACATTCTTAATGAAACTGGCAAATTTTTTTTAACTGCAAAGTCCCCCCAAAATTCAAAGACTACTAGTGCATGGTGATGTCCCTGCCTTGATTCTCAGTAAGACACCCGCAGTTTACCCATCAAGCTTTTGCACCCTCAGTGCAAATGTCAACTGTGAAAAAGGAAAATAGCATCTTAGTAATCTTAGTATTACTTTGAAAATAGTTTTGACATGGAAAATTCCCTAAAAGCTTCTTTAAAGAAGAAAATAAAAATCATCCCTAACCATCCTAAGATACCCACTGCAAATATGTGCATGTGTGAGTACATCCACATGTGTTTAGAAAAATGTATCATACCAGACTGGCAAGGCCATCATAATTTTAATGTTTGCATAGTATCCTATTGTAGGGATGAATATGAGTGGAGGAGGGGACACTGCTTGCTTATTTTGTTTTATGTTTAATTGACCCTACACTGAAGGGCTTATCCAGATCTTCAGTGTGTCCTGCTTTAAGCAAAGTCCCTCGGAGCCACTATTATGTGGCCGTGGGTAATTTCCTTACAGAGATTCTGGCCCCAAAAGGGTGGTGAAGGGGAGAGCTTGACACAAGCAGCTCGCTTGGTCCATGCATTAGTTCAACCAGAGAGAGGGAGCAGTCTATCCATGACGTTGCTGTCAAAGGGAGCCCATGAAAGAAGTTATGTACCCCATAATTTCATCCACAGCATGGGGAGCTATCTACAGGTTGCTATGTCTGTTTCTATCCTTCTATTACTTAATTTAAATTTAGTAGATTTCATTCTGAAATGTGCCTGTCCTCCTTTGTCCACCTCTAGTCTGGTCATCATTTGACTGTAGATCCCACGTCAACACAGTAGAGAGAAGGGCTGGGAAGCTGTCCAGCCCCAGCATTCCTCAGCACAGTGATTCACAGAGCAGAAGGCGAAAAAGCAAGAGTGCAGATCGCGGTGGGATTCCAGGAGCTCTCACAAACAACCCCGCTCGGACCCACTCACATGCAACCCACGGGCAGGTGGCAGAGGAATCGGAAAAGCAGAAGGCTGGAATCGCCACAAAGCCAGGGCAGCACTGGTTCCAGTTTCAGATCATTTTCAGAAACAAAAACTCTTCCAGCACTCTGAAAATTTTCACTTAGAAAAACAAAAGCCAGGAGTTGTAGGTGGGGAAGTTGGAAGACTTTATTTAGTTTTATTCCTCTCAAGTACTGTGCAAAGTATTCAGTGAATACTTTCCTAGAGTTCACTAATGGGAAGAAAAAGACCCTACGGCAGGCACTGCCTTTTATGAGAAAGTGGCATTGGCATCAGAATACCTCGCATAAACCTGAGCCAAGCATTGGGATGATGTATCTACCAAAAAGTCACAAAGTAATGTGATCCCCAACTTTTCTTCCTTTACCCCTGAAGTAAGAGAACAATATATACACTAAATAGCATCATAAAACTGGTACCCTCGTTGGAATAGTATCTGACGATCATTGTCTGCTTCTTGGATTTCTACAAACCAATAACCTAAAAGCCAGTTTCAAGTGTAAAAATGCCTGCAAAGGAGGTGGTAACAAGGGCCGCCAAAGGCTTAGGAATGAAAACCTCGCCACAAACTTGTCTCTCTCTGCAGGAAGCTTGCAAGAAATCTGACAGGAGCGCGCTAGCATTTTCTGAAAAGCATTGCTCTCAAAGGAAGCATCCATCCTGGCTGCAGCCTCAGCCATTGGGGAAGGGCGAGTTTCTCTGGAATCAGCTTTCTCATTTCCCTCTCCCTCCTCTCAAGACAAACATTTTCTCCCAGCTTGAACGTTCCCCCCGGGCGCGCGGGCCTCCTGCCGCCTGGAGCCGAGCTGGCACTGGAGCGCTTCTCCTCTGGAGCGCAGAGGCACCCGACGCCCTGCGGCAGCTCGCAGCCTTTCCCCCACGACCTTCTAGAACAGCCCTGCTCTGCCTCCCTCCGGTCTCCCGAGTGCGCCCGTCATCCTGCCTCGCGAGAGGTGAACGCGGAGAAAGTAGGATGACCACCTACGCTCCCGAGAAATTCTGGGCAAAGAAAGGCATTACCCCAGTCCGCACGCTGAAAGTCGCCTTTCTTTTCCTTTTTTCCCCGCTGTGCCTGAATCTCCCGGGACACTTAGACGGCTGGAGCCTCCCGACTCCAAGGCGGGCGACGGCAAAGTTAAACGCCAGCGCGCTGCGGTCCCCGGGCACCGAGGCGTCCCCGCTCCCGCCACCCACACAGGGCGCCAAGTGCCCCGACCCGCGAGTGACGAGGACGCACAGGCTAGTGACACGACCCGTAGCCAGCACTGAGCGGGACGACGGGGCCCGAGCGCAGGAGGGTGCGCGGGGAGCTGAGGAGCGCCGGGGGCCCGGGCGCGGCGCGTACCTGAGGCCGCCGCCGAGGAGGCGACGGGGAGCAGCGCGGCCAAGAGCAGCAGCGCCGCCCAGGACAGCCGGCGCGGCGCGCGCAGGGTCGCCCCGGCCTCGGGGGCCATCGAGAGCCCGGGGTGGGCCGGGGCTGGGTGCTTGCGGCTGGCAGGGGGGCGCTGGCCGGAGTCTGGGGAGTGCCGAGGCGCCGCCGTCGGGTCCCCGCCGCCGTCCGTCTGTTCTGCGCGCTCTGCGCGGTGCCCGCCGCGCCCCTGCCCCGCGGCGATCGCTCCCGGCCGCACACCGGCAGCCGCGCTCCGCCACTGAGGCCGCCGACCTCCCGCCGAGCCTTTTAGCTGCGCTCGGGCGCCCCCTGCCGGTGTGCGGGGCCGGGGCCAGGGCCGGCGGGGGCGACCCGGGCGACAGGGGCGACGGGGGCGGCGGGGCCCGGGCTGGAGGCGGGCGGGGCGCGGGACGAAGGGGCCGGAGCGCCCCGGACTGACTTAGCGGTTCTGAACTTGGGGCGGTCGCTGTGCCGGGCCAAGTGGCTGAGGAAGTTCCTCCCCTCGTCTAACCCTCTCATTTTCTGGCTGGGGAAGTCGCCCATCGCGCCGAGGAGTGCCCTTTGTCCCCTTACAGAAACACCTCTGCGCCCCAAGTGGGGACTCGGGCCGGGACCCCTCACCCGGTCCGCAGCGCTGTAGTTCCTGTGGCTAGCCCAGTCCTTCCACGTCCCTACCCGCACCCGGCGCGCCCACGTCAGGGGTTTTCAGCGTCCTTAGACCCTGCTCCGTCTGGCTGTCATTTCTAGGGCGCGCACGATGCGGGTCGAAAAGGAACCCAGTTTTCAGTGTGCCTTGTTGCCCAGGCCAAGGACTCAGCGGACCTCGCCTCTCCCTTTTCTGTAATTGTAACACTGCCCCAGGTCTCCCTATTCCTCCTTCTCCCTATTCCTCCTTCCAGCCTGGAAGCCTCGCGGCCCTCCAGATGGACTCGGAGCGCCCCTGGAGGCTACAGTGACCTAAGCTCTAGGAAGGCCGGGTCCTGGACGCCGCGTGCTGCTGTCCGCCGCCGACCGGTGTCCTCGCAGAGATAACCTGGCTGAACTCACCGCCCAGCGCTATGTCAGTTCTCCCTCATGACAACCCAAAACTTGACCGGATTTGTGTTCTGCAGAGAGGAAAAAAAAAAGGTAAATGAATTGCAAAGAGATGAAAACCAGAAATACAGTATCTCTTTGAATTTGAGCACCCAGGAAAGGTGTAAACCTACCGCCTTCCTTTCCAGGAAACTCTCCTGCTTCCCAGCAAAGGTTTTTGTTTGTTTGTTTTTCTTTTTCTTTTTGTTTTGAGACAGGGTCTCCCTCTGCCTCTGCCGCCCAGGCTGGAGTGCAGTGGTGCAGTCTTGGCTCACTGCAACCACCATATCCCAGGCTCAAGCCATTCTCCTGCCTCAGCCTCCTAAGTGGCTGGGACTACAGGTTTCAGCCACCATGCCCAGCTCATTTTTGTATGTTTTGTAGAGACAGGGTTTCCCCACGTTGCCCAGGCTGGTCTCCAACTCCTGAGCTCAAGCAATCCGCCCACCTTGGCCTCCCAAAGTGCTGGGATTACAGGCGTGAGCCACCACGCCCAGCCCAAACACACTTTCCTGCATTACTCCCTTATGTTATCATGTTTCCCCACATGCCATTTAATGGAGCTGTGTGGTTTCTGTCTCACCAGCAGCCACCCGGCTCTGCCTATTTTGGGGGAATGGTAGCTCCCTCCCCAACTCCAACCAAGTGACAGGCCCCCTCCTTACTCCCACTCCTTCCCAAAGCCCCACTTCCCCACTGGCTCAGGGCTCTGCAGTGGCCTAGACAGGGTCACTCAGAGTTGGGACTCTTCTAACACGGGCTGGTGGAAAGGTCTCTTTCTCCCATCATTCGTGGATTTGGAAGGATGGTAGCCATGGCAGGCTGAAACACAGCCTTCCTCCCCAAAAAGACATTCCTGTCCTAGTCCCTGACCCTGTGAATGTCACCTTACATGGTTTATTAAAAAGCAATTAAGCATGCTGAGACAGAGAGATTATCGTGGATTATCTGGGTGGGCCCTAATGCAGTCATGTATGTAACTTATAAAACAGAGGAGAGGGAGATTGACGCACACAAGAGAAATCCAGGTGAGGACGGAGGCAGCCATGGGAACGATGCACCCACAGCCCAGGGATGCTGGCAGCCCTCACCAGAGGCTGGAAGAGGCTCCTCCAGAGCCTGTGCTGGACTTCAGGCCAGTGGAACTGATTTCAGACTTCTGGCCTCCAAGACTGAGAGAGCAGATTTCTGTTGTTTAAGCCACCCACCCCGTTTGTAATTACTTCTTACAGCGGCCACCGAACACCAGTGCAGTAGCCAGGATGGGCCTGTGGCTCTGGCTGCAGCCTCCAGGGACACCAGCTGGAGAGAAGGAAGCCACGCATGGAGAGCGGCCAGGTGGGTAGAAAAGAGCCGGGCAGATGCAAGAGTCCCGGGCTCCACCTCACCCCTGCGCTTTCTGAACGCTGGTTCTGGGGACAGCACATTCCCTTTTGCTAACTTGGAATGAGATTTCTATTTTCTATAACCAATGAGTCTTGACTAGTGCACTCCCCCCTGTTCTTAAGAGGACAAGAACCAAGACTTATCTTTATTGCTCATCTGTCACCCAAAAGAGGCCATCACAGAACCAAACACAGTAATATCCAGGAAATGCTGAGGTTAATTGCCATTCATTCATTCATTCAGCAAATACTTATTGTGATCTACTCTGTCCCCAGCACTGCTGTAGACCCCGGGGATTAGCAGTGACTGAAAGCAGATGAATAGCAGGAGTTAAGTTAAAAGCAGAGAAGGGGAGGCAGCACTGAGGACTTTACAGGCTGCAGGAAGGGTTTAGGCTTTCAATCTGAGAGGTGAAGGGCAACACTGGAGAATTCTGATCAGAGGAGACACGGGTAAGCAGGCTCTTACAATCCCAGTGAGGCAAGACGGTGCTTGGACATGATGGACAGCAGTGGGGCACGAGAACCAGTGAGGTTCTGGATGCATCTTAAAGGTATGGTTTGGGAGATTTTCTGACTCATTGGATGTGGAGAAAAAGAGGATTTGCAATATACCGAGTCACACTATTCTCATGCTGCTGGTTAACTCTCCATTGTGACTTCTGTAATTTCAGGATGTCACTCTTTAGTTTCATTGTAATGAACTAATCATATGCCATAATCTCTATATGCACACAGTGAAAGCTCAACAGACATCAGTTTCCTTCCCTGCATCCTCAGGAGATGCATGTGCACTTACCTTCCTCCCCAGAATACTTATTAGAGCAACTTTCTTAGGGGTACATTTCAGAGTGAAGCACAATGCAAAATTACTTCCAATTTTAGAGTTTCAGAACCCTCAACCATGGGCTGTTTGATATTAAATGAAATTACTGACACTTATGAGTTCTGATTCTGATTTCATTACAAATATGAGAGTGTGTGTTTTAATCAAAAGGTATTATTACCTTTAGGCTCAAAATATCTTAAAGAAAATGGAACTCGGAGTCAGTCATCTGTTCTCAACGTGGTCATCTCAAAAATATGAGCACACGGAAGTTTTCTTCCTTCTTGTCAGTTTTGAGTCCAATATCAATACTGTTGTCCTGTGAAAGATTTTAAGATTTAAATGTTTTTTCATGTAATTTCCTGATGTCTTGATTGTTGCTTCTATTTTGTTCATCAAAACCAAACAGAGTGGAGGTTGCTCTGGGGCTGGATGGATGGCCAGTCATTAAAATCAATGCCTTATTAGTCTGCCTTAGTTCTGTGGTCTTTTCTGGCTTTACAGATCAGCTTGTGTTCATATACACTATTTCCTGTTCTAGTTATTTTTAAAATAACTATACATCCAAGGAGTTCAGCACTCCTCATACACATTGTCGTGGCATTCCTATGTGATAGGGTAAATTAAATTGCTATTCTCGTGTTTCATATGGATAAATGGGAAGCAAGTTCAAATGACCTTCCAGTACAGACTCAAGTAGAGCGTTGAAAGTGCGTGTCTCATATTATTCATCTGACATTTAATCTTGTTCAGTCTTCAATTTGGCTCATGTGGCTCTTTAATTCCTTTTTAAGCACCACATTTGAATATATCTGCATATTGTGATCGCCGCAGGACACTACACAATACCCATTACACAATAGTGATATTTTTAAAAGACTACATAGAAGGAGAACAAAAGAGAGTGTGCTCCTACAGCACTTGCTGTGATTGTGGGGAGCTCAATAAATCGGACACAGCAGATCTGGAGGAACACAACAGTCCCCAGGATTCTATGAACAGAGGGAAAAGGGAAAAGAAAATAGAAGCAGGCAAGTCGACACTGCCATCTCAGTTTCGCCTTGACCTGGGAGAAGGGTGATAGAAATAGCTTCTAGCTGGCAATAAAATAAAATAATAAAATAATGCTTTACTTCTTTTCTTGAACAGTACTCATTTCGTTCCGATTCTCACAACAACTTTAGGGGCACTATTCTGATTTTACAGGAGAAAATCAAGGCTCCAAGAAGGCGTGTGGCATGTGCTTGGCCCTTTAACTGGTGCGCCTGGGAGTCCAGTCTGAGCCTCTGACCCCAAGTACACATCTCTCTCCACCACACGTGACTCTCAGAAGGTCCTTCCCTCTCTCCCATTTTCATTAAAACTATGAGGATCAGGGGAGACAGGACAAATAAAAGTCTGTTTTGCACACGCCATGTCCCCGTGTCCACTGCAGATTTATCGGAGACACTTCCTTATCATCCAGATAGTGACCAATCCCTCTTAGCAAACAACTACATGAGACCTCAATGTTATATCACTCATGTTCTTAGAGTTTCAAAGATGCAGACAAGAAATGGTGCTTCTTAAAAAACACCCTGCCATGAATCTATCATTGCCCAAAACACACTTCCTCTGCACAGAAGTTCTAACATGTTTCCACTGCAAGGCAGTGCCAAGGCAATTCTCTTCTATTGTACAAATCTACTGGGAATTAGTGAAACATAAAGGATTAAGGTGTCAGACACCAGCCTCACATATGCATGGTTGGCATGATTAAATTAAAAAACTCACAGATTTGTGTTCTAAGTTTCTGTCCAATGGCCCAGGTCAATCCAGCCTACATTCCACACATGGAAGAAGATATTCCAATTCTGCCAACTACTGCTTGTCAATGGGGACAGGAGAAATCATTCATTCTTCTATTCCTTTATATATCCTTTGTTGAACACCTATTTTTGTTCCATGCCATGTAGTAGAATCTGGGGGTGCAAATGTGACTAAGACACAGACAGCCCATGCTTCGAAGCGCTCACAGTCAAATGCAACAGATAAACAAACAACTGAAAACAATCACAATCCAATGTGACAAGTGCTGTAATCTTCAGGCCATGGAGCTTAAAGGAATTTTCATGAATGTTGCGCAACACTTCCTTTACTTATTTTCCCACCAAGGAGATTTTTAACCCTATGTCTACTTCTCATAGGCAGACATAGGGGTATGTTCACTCTAATCACACTAATCCTGTGGAATTAAAAAGAGCACAGTTTGGGGAGGAGACATTAGTAAATCTGAGTGGAACAAGAGCTCAAAATGTAGTCTTCAAGTTGCAGTTGGCAGTTTGAAAAGCTGGCCCGGCATTATGCTAAGAAAACATATGTCTGGCCGCCTTCCCAGGCTGCATTTTTCTGATTCCCAGCGTCTTGTCAAGAGCAGACCACAACTGCTAGTCCATGAGCAGTGCAGAGCTGCCCACCCAAGCCCATGCTGGTGTGTACAGGGCATGCCACTCAAGCCCCCCATGCCTCAGATAGCATGAGGACAGATAGGCACTCACTCTGGAAATGGGGACATTCATCATTTGTTCAGTAGTCCCATAATGAACCCCACCTGTGTGCCTGGCCCATGATCAGAGCACAGACTGTGGTCACCTGTGAAATGGCATCTGCACCAGCTGACAGCTGACGGGGGCTTTGCCATCTGTGCAGTGTGACTGGCCTGGAGGAAGTGATGAAGTAGACAGTTCGCCGGTGGTGATCCCAGCCCCTTTCCCTCCTGGCTGATGTCTCCCTCTAAGGCACCTACCCAAGCACATCATGCCCTTTCATACTGCACCCTTCTCACCACCCATCAAGCCTTCCTTCAAGGATCCAATCACCTCCTTCTAACTAGCATGTAAATAAGTGACTGATAAGGCTTTATGATCTTTTCTCCATAAGGATGTAGTGCTCTGCAACTCACATAGTCACAACGTGTGCGCTCATTCATCCACATGAACCATCAGGGAGGGTGACACTTTATTATGCCCATTTTACAGAGGCAGAAACTTAGGTTCTTTGTCCAGCCAATGTTCATGCAGTTAAGGAATAACACAGCTAGGAGGCAAACCCTGATACTCCACCTGCAAACACAGTGCTCTTTGCACAATAGGCCATCAAAACAAGAATTCTCCAGTGTTGAATTCGTAAGTAATAAAATGTTGACAGGGAGGCATTTAGGATGAGGGCCTCTTTTATTTACAGTTCGATTTCCCTGACTTAAGAAAAAGCACCATCTTCTGCATCCACATTATAACTATTGCTCTCTGGCCACGCTTGAGAAGCAAAGTCGATTTTCCTTACATTCTTTAGAATCTGCACAAAAACATCTAGGAGAAAATATTCTGTGATTCTGTAGCATCCAAATCAATGTGCTTCCCTAACACAGCTCACAGATAGTACTGAATTGTTATTCATATGATGCTCCTGAAATGAAAAAGCAGGCTTGAGCTGTTTTATAGGTAGCTTCCACTCTGGGAGGGGACCTTACTCTCTGTCTAGATTCAATCATGATTTTGTGAGCCCTCAGCGCATTCAGCCTACAGGCCTCTTCCTTGTTCTGGAAGCATCTTTCCCTGACTTCTGACACTGGAGCTTGTCCTGACCTGTCTTCTGCTTCTCCTACCTTTGTTCCTCCATCTCCTCTGCAGTGCTGAGGCCTTTTCAAGTCTCCTTCCCCCTTCTCCATAGAAGATCCCATCCACGGTCACTCCAGTCACGCTGCCCTTTCAGTCTTGCGGTCACCTTGCTGCCTCTTCACAGGGTTTTTGCACCAACTGATCCCATCCCCCGTCCCTTTCTGCCTTTCCACCTATCCTTCAAAGCTCAGCTTTTATTAGAGTTTCCCTGGAACCCTTTGACCAGGTAAAATCTCCCCTTTCTACTCACTCACAGCACCATAGAACTTGCTTTTGTGGTCCTTCCCGTGGCTGAATTTTCATGCTTATCTCCATAGCTACTCATCCATCACCCAGCTTGACTGTAAGCTCCATGAGGACAGGGATCACATCTGTTTTTGCTCGCCTTGTATCGCTATAGCCTGGCATGCGACCTGAATCATAGCAGGAACTCAGTAAACATTTGTGAGTTCATGTGTACAAGCATGCATACATGAAGGATCTTCTTTATTCAGTAGTACAAGCTTGGTAGAATTGGTGATATGGTTTGGCTTTGTGCCCCACTCAAATCTCATATTGAAATGTAATCCCTTGCGTTGGAGGTGGGGCCTGGTAGGAGGTGATTGGATCATTGGGGTGGTGTCTAATGATTCAGCACCATCCCCTAGGGCTGTCTCATGGTAGAGTTCTCGTGAGATCTGGTTGTTTAAAAGTGTGTAGCACCCCACTTCCCACCCTTCACTCTCTTCCTCCTGCTCCTGCTATGTAAATGTGCTTGTTTCTCCTTTGCCTTCCACTATGACTGTACGTTTCCTAAGGCCTCCCCAGCCATGCTTTCTGTACAGCCTGTGGAACTGTGAGTCAATTAAACCTCTTTTCTTTATAAAGTACCCAGTTTCAGGTATTTCTTTATAACAGTGCAAAAAAGGACTAATACAATTGCCCTCTCCAAGAAGTCAGTGTAAGCTTGGACTTATTCCCTGCTGCAGCCCACTCCTACCCAGACCCTGGCTGTACCCAGCATGCATAAGCAGCAACTCC